>NW_003571050.1:204135-408271 GCF_000001405.40 Homo sapiens | reverse complement strand
TATCCTATCCTGGGAACAAATAATTGGGAAAAGAAAATGATCGACATTTTTTTTTTTTTTTTTTTGCCAATTGCTTTCCCCTAAAGTAAGTTTATAGTCTTGATGTCATGAGAGTTTTTGAGTTTCCCGCCCCTGCCCTCCCCCCAACCCAGTTTGGTCACACAGTTGATTTATAGAAGAGTTGCCAATAACCTGAATAACCTGTTTCTAATGCCAAAAACGGCTGATGCCTGAGCCCTGCCTTAGGCCTAGAACTTAAGATGAGAAGATATTTTGGGTGCGCAAGCCATGTTGTCCTTAGCTTTACTCAAAGAAAACATCCTAGTGAAAATATGCATGGATCAATACATATTTCAGAGGGCGTGATTGTCTCTGTTGAATCTCTGATAGTTCACATGGTTTGCTGCTGCCCTTAATCTCATGTCCTTTGAGCTAGAGACTTCCTTAATTAAAATACAGAAACAAGGAGGCCATCTGCAAATCCATACTTCCAGTGCACTCATCTGTTACATTGCTTAATGCTGTGTACAAGACCTAGGCCCTGAGCTAGATTATTGCCAAGAATAAATCTTCATTTAGAAAACTGATCAGATGGTTGGCTTGATAAATTCAGAAAAATGTTAGGCAATATTTTTTTGGGAAGGTTATTTGTAGAAGAAATCCCAGGTGACAGATAAACTATTTTCAATTTTAGCTATTTTGAGGGGCACCAATGTAGATGCAGCTTCAGAAGACAAAGGCATTATCCTGACTTGTATATTGCCACCTCTATTCCTTAGCCCCATGTTTAATAAATGAATCAGTTCTGGAAATAAGTTAGCTTCCCTTTTATATAGATATAACCTGGCCCCTGAACTTTGAAGCTTCTATTATTTTCCTTTTAGACTTCAGTTTGAGATACTTTCACAGTTTTCAAAAACCAATTAAAAAGTGAAAATGATCTCTTGAACAACAGTTCTTTTTTTAAGCATCTCGTATTTTTGGCTTTTTGTTTTTTTGAGACAGGGTCTTGCTCTGCAGCCCTGGCTGGAGTGCAGTGGCATGATCACAGCTGTTTTCTTTTTTTTTTTAATCTGCTGAACATAATCTCTAATTCTCTGCCAATGATCTTAGTTACAGTATTTCATTATTTGGTGGTGTGATTTTTTTCTCCCTCTTTTTGGCTGATGAAAAGTTGTACCCAACTTCCCTCACTAATAATATGAATGATCTCCATTTCTCTTTATTGTTCATTGATGCATGCCACTATTTTACAGTGGCTAAGTCCATATGCTTGGTGTTGAAAGCCATGGAGATGGTGAAGATTTTGTAATGTTCATTGCAGATCCCTAATCAGGATAGAAACTGGCAGGGATGTCCTGCAATTAAGCTACTAAGACTTCCATAGTTTCTTCATTTGTAGTAGGCTTTTGGGAAGGTCCTTGGGCCTTTTAGTTGTCCCAAGAGCACTGCTGAAATTTGTATTTGTGGAGAGTAGGGGTAAGGGGAGGTTTACTTATATTTTGAAAAGATCTCATGACTTGACCTGGTGGTAATCCTGCTGAGCAAATCCTATTAAGTCTAGTTTGTTCAGGCTGCTATAAAAAATACCATAAAATGGGTGCTTATGAACAACAGAAATTTATTTCTTATAGTTCTAGAAGCTGGGAAGTCCAAGATCCAGGCATTCACAAATTTGGTATCTGGTGAGGGTTCATTTCCTTGTTCATAGATGACTTTTCCCTATAACCTTACATGGCAAAAGGGGTAAGGGAATTATTTTGGGGTCTCCTTTATAAAGGCACTAATCCCATTCACGAGGGTTTCATCTTTATGACCTGATCACCTCCCAAAGGTCCCATCTCCTGAGATCATCACTTTGGGGGTTAAATGCCAACATGTGAATTTTTGGGGGGCACATTCAGACCATAGTACAAGTGTTAAAACTGCAAGAAGAATCCCCACACTCAAGGTAACCCAAGTAATAGACTAATATGAATCAATCCAACCCAATTGTTGGGAATTCTCATAGTTCTTGCAGAGGTTCTTTTCTTGGTTCATTTTCTTGGAACTTCCCAAGTCGTCTTTAGACTACTTTCCATGCTCAAACTTCCAAGTATTAGGATATTCCTTTCCCTCATCTTTTGTCCCTATATTCCTCAACTTTCATCCTACCCCTTTATGCTTCTGCATGTAACTTTATTTTCTTCTTGACGCTATCAAAAGCTATTGATGTCCTGCCAGAAAGATCTCCCATTAAAAGCAAACTGCAAGATTTTCTAACAAAATTTAGTTAGGGATCCTCAGGACAGGAACAGACATGGCTTCAAAATTTAACATTGTCTGATCTCTACTCTGGGTAGCACAGGAAAGTGTTTCCCTTCCATTCTGAGGACAACGTTCTTTCCTCTCTCTCCCTTTGCTCCCATATCCCTCAATCCCACCAACCCTCTAATAAAATAAGCCAATAGGTTTAAGGCTGCAGAGAGTATAAAATACTTGAACTTACATATCAAATCATGTTAAATATTTATATTTTAGTATGAAAGACCCTCAATAGTTATGTTAAAAAAAATAACTATTACCCAGGTAATATTTCTGTCCAGAAATTTGAGAAACAGAATTATTTGTAATTATCTACACATTTAAGAAAATTGAACTCCTTATGAAATATAACTTTAGGAATTACTGGAGATTCATTTGAGGTCTGGTTGGTTATCATGACCTTAGGAATTTACTTAACCTCTCTAAATCCCGGTTTGCTTCTCTGAAAAATGATAAAAATGTTTTCCTCACAGGGTATATGTGAGAATTACGGAGCTCATGTATATAAATAGTTTTTCATAGTTCCTGGTATTAAAAACTCAATATATTTTAAAAATGATGCTGATGGTAATGATATGCTATTTGTCAAGTAATCACATGTATTTTTACCCAGAATTAAAAAAAAAAAAACAACTTTTCCCCTATCCCTTAGGTTACATATGTTGCTATGTTCACTGTTTTCCTTTTATAGTTAAAATAAGCTGTAACGCATCGTTTCCCATTTTTTTTTTTGCCAGCTACATTTCTTATCTCTATTGATAATAACTATACCACCTATGTCTCTGCTTTTTCATGCTTGAGGGATCTCTGGATCAATCAACGTGCATGATGGCCTGAAAAAGCCCAATTTATGGGCAATAAAGTGAATCATCTTATTATCAGGAACGAATATATGTTTCCTTTATTGACTGCTGACTATGTAGAGCATACCAACAAAATTGCCATTCATCTATCCATTCAACAATATTTATTAGCTATTCCGCACTGGGCAGTGCTCTAGGCTTGGGGATAGAACAGTGAACAAACAAAATCCTTAGCCTAATGGATATTACCTGGAAGTGTGCCAGGAAGAATAAACTCACTTGTGAATTACAACAATAAGTGGTTTATTCAGGTCAAAATCTTGTTTTGTCTCCTGGGAATTTCACTGAATTGCATCATGTAGGAGGCAAACTATACCCCAAGAATTAAGAGCAATTGTGAATAAATGATAAACCACAGAGTTTACATTTACCTCCTAATACATTTAACTCCTAATATATATATATACATATATTACGAGGTAAATGTAAGCTGTAACTTTATGCATATATTGTAAGTAGTAACTATACATATATACTTATATACTGTATACATATATAGTAAGTAGTAACTATACATATATACATATATAGTTACTACTTAAATTTATATATGTGTATGTATATATATATGTATATATACAGTACACACACATACTGTTACTACCGGGTGTAAAATTGAATAGGATATAGTGTCTTCCCTCACAGAGCTGCCAATTATGTTGGAGGATGTAATAAATACAAAGTCTGTTTCTTCATCTTCGGTTTAACAAATGACTGATGTGAGGAAAAAAGTTATAGGAATATGTTCACATAGTCACCCAAATGGAGCATCCTACTCTGTCACCATTTCAGGATTAAGACTAGACAGTCTTTTGTGTTACAAATTGGGACATCAGTGCTCTGGGAAACAGTGATGTCCACGATTCTAAATCCCTTGGTATTACTATTTCATTGATTAAACTACACTTCTGATATTTTAGACTAAAATGTTTTGGCTTATCGCAGTCTAGGAAACCTGTCTTGGGTATATAAAACAGACAGTTGATGCACGATTAGGGAAAAATAAGGCAACCTATGAAAATGGCCTTATGGATTAAAAGAAGTGAGCTCCTATATGGTCAGTGGAATCCAGGAAAAATTTAATGGAAAAAGCGCCACCTAAGCTTAGCTTTAAAACACAGAGTATCTTCAGGTAGAAAAGGCTATAGGAGAATGTGCCCAAATGGAGTTTGGCTGGAGACAAAGAATAAAGACTAGAAAGAACAATTACCCTAGGCCAGACATGGTGTTGGACGGGGCAAGATGCTTACTACTTAAAGCCATAGAACACTGTTTGCTGGACACAATGAGTGGAATATAGAACAATGCAACTATTTTAACACTTTACCCCTCTTAGTGGTTTATTAGTTAATTTTTTCCTGAAAAAAAAAATGCGTATACTACTTTTTCTGCACTTTTCTATATCAGATCTTGATTTAAAACTTTACCACTCTTGGTGATTTATTATTAGTTTTTTTAATCCGAAGAAAACATGTGTATACTCCTTTTTCTGCATTTTTCTATATCAGATCTTGATTGGCTCACCACCATTACACACACACACATCTCTTTTCTCCCATCCTCCCAGCGTTATAGAATCATTTGTTGTAAAATCAGTATTCAGTATTTACATAATTATGACTGACTTTACATGACTACTATTATTCACAGTTGAGGTATACCGTGTATACAGTGTAGTTTTTAAATTTTTATTTTTCTCAGCGTTCAAAATTATATGTTCTGTTTTCTTAATTTTGAAAAATATGCATTCACTAATTTATCCCCACACTCTTTGGAAAATGAAAGCTCTCTAGGCTGTATTCAAATACACCAGGTACTCTATCAATTTTCATTTTTTAAACTATTCTACCTGAGCTCTCCATCTTTAGCCATTTCCTGTTGACTTCATACTGTTCTCCCCTACCACTCTCCCTCTTTAATATATTACCGTTTTAGAAACTTTATGGCTACCCTGTAAGTAATAAAAATGTCTTTCCCCACTCAACAACAGACAGTACCTTTCAAGTTTCCACTTTATAAGGACATAACCCCCATTCCATTTACTTCCCCCGCCCTCCTTCAACATTCCCACTTGTATTTTCCGGCTGTATTTTTAAAACATGGTAAATAACATTTGCACTCCACTTTGTAACCATAATTAAGTATGCCCTTAAACAATAAAAACCATAAACAACATTTGTATTTTACGATTATTTAAATGTTATTCACTGAACAGCCAAGCTTTGTGCTACTATGGGATTTCGTTTTCTGCGGTTCCAAGTCTTGATCCACGTCCTGCCACAGGATCACTGAAGTAGAGCCCATTTTCTTACACTCTCGCCATTAGTTCAAAAGCTTGCAGCATTTTATGTCTGGTACTTGGAGGATGATTTTCCTGTACAGTTTTGCGTTTTTTTCACCGAAAATTTCTGATTATTATTGTTTTCTCTTGTGGGATGAAATATGTACCTTCTATATCACAGCCTTAATACCTTCAGCTTCTTATTCATTGAAATCTTGCTTACAATCCAGTCCGAGGATTCCCGGTTTACTGATTTTCTTTTTCCTGCAAATTTTAGCCTTCTGTTTTGTTTTGAAATAATGCATCCTCTGCGCTTTGTCACATTCTGAAATTCGTCAGGTGTTTTAGGATGCACACTTTCTTAGATGTTTTCGAGGGTCTTAACTGCAGTTCTGTTTCCGGAACAGCGTATTCTCTTTCTAGGGATTGTAGGCTCCCGGCCGCCCCCTGAGGAGCTCCGCTAGCAGCTAAGAGGGCAGCCACGAAGAGCGCCTGAGCACTCTCGCGAGACTGTGGGGCTCGCCATTGGCTGCTCCGCCGCGCCGCAACGGACCCTGGGAGTCGGCCATCATGCTGGCCCCGGAGGCCGTTAGCTTAGTCATGGCTCTAAATATGTACCTGCAATCGGATGTTGAGGATCACCGAGCCCGCGACGTAGAAGTACGGGAAGTTCATGCGCAGCTGCCAGGCCAGCTCGAAGAAGGCGAGCAGGGTGCGGGAGAGCCCCTTGCAGAAGACGCCGTACGAGGTGGGTGTCGCGGCGGGGCTTGAGGCCCTGACGGCCAAGGAGGACGGAGCCGCCGCGGGGGCCATGAGCCAGGTGTCGCCGCCCGCCCAGCGTCTGTAGCGAGGGTTGCCGCAGGGCCCGCGGACCTCCTAGCGACGGCTGGGACCGGCAGGACGGTAAGCAAAGCGGCTCCCGGGCTCACACCCAAGCTTGCCGCTGCCGCCGCTCGGTGCAGTGCGGCGCGTAGCCCCGGGCGCCGCTGGCGCTCCGCCCCTTCCTGTCTGCTTCTCACTGTGGCATTTACCATTTAGAGCTCAACTGATGGTAGGTGGCTCTGGAATAGGATGTGTTATATAGCATGTACGAACATCCATGCAGATAGTTCCACTTTAAAATGAAAAAATCTAAGCGAGATGTAACTTGCCGTAGGGCACAAAATTTGTAAGGGCCAAAGCTAGATTAAAACTTTAGTTTGTCTGCTGTGTTATGTGGGATGTTAGGAATCTTACCCTTTTGATTTCATAATATTAATATTAGGGCAAGATGATTCCTACGCCAATAAAAGCACAAGGTCTCTGTATTCATAATATACCATAGACATAAAAAGGATCACAATCTTAGTCTTTGGATTTTTCTATTTATTAGGAATATTTAAATTGCAAGTGACAGGAATGATAAACATTCAAGCAAAAAACTAGTGGACACACACGCGTATATACATAAGGACATACATACAAAATTATATTCCCAGCCATGTAAACCCTTAAAAAGTTCAGATTAGCTGTGGAAGCTTCAGCCATTTCTGCATGGAGATGCATCTGTGAAACCTGTGGCTAGGCTCCAAGAGCTGGAATACTACTCTGTACTTCCAAACTCTTTTTTTGTTGTTGTTTTTGAGACGGGAGTCTCGCTCTGTCGCCCAGGCTGGAGTGCAGTGGCGCGATCTCGGCTCACTGCAAGCTCCGCCTCCCGGGTTCACGCCATTCTCCTGCCTCAGCCTCCTGAGTAGCTGGGACTACAGGCGCCCGCCACCATGCCCGGCTAATTTTTTGTATTTTTTGGTAGAGATGGGGTTTCACCGTGTTAGCCAGGATGGTCTCGATCTCCTGACCTCGTGATCTGCCCGCCTCAGCCTCCCAAAGTGCTGGGATTACAGGCGTGAGCCACAGCGCCCGGCCTGTACTTCCAAACTCTTAATACCATTAGAGTAACAGCACAGTGAATCTCTAATAGCCACAATACTTTTGTTATTTAAATGGTGCACATTTCATTACCTTCACTTATCTCCCATTTTAACTAGAAAGCACTGTATTTTTTAATCGCACACACCGTCTTCATTCATGGATTATTCAAATGTGTGATTTCTGATCATGACCTTAAGGTTACAGTCTTGTTCTGAAAAGCATTGTTGAGATACCACACATCGCACCGTGCACTGCATGTCTAGCAGCTATTCAGAGCACAAGTACGGTACCCTAGAGTACCTCTGTTTCTATATAGTCTACTGATTATATGACTGGTAGAAATAACGTGCCACTGATAAATTTGTAAAAATTAATTTTGTGTTCCCAGCTAGTATTCTTTTGCTACTTTGCTGCTCCAGTACCACTCCAGCGAGGTAGCACTTAGAGGAATTACTTATGACAACTTCTAAAATACTGGTATAGAGACTGAAGAGCGATGTAAAATAAATGATCAATTCTGAGAACTGGGAGAAGATATATAGTTTCAGTTCACACATATAATTTACTCCCTTTGAAAACTGAAAGACTAATACACAGAGCCATTCAGAGTCACAGGAGTCATTACGTCCTGGATTTTTCATTTCCAAATATGTAAAGCTATGTGGACTCATTCTGTCTTCTATTCCTCTTTTGTGCCACCCTTTACGCCCTACTTGCTCCGTTTCTGGGTAACTCCATGAAAACCTTATCTTCCACCCTGAGACCGTGGGGAAAATAGCAGCCACCCACTGATAACATGGCCAGATTGAGGGCCTATTCCAATGGGACGGGAATAGGCAAAGAACAGTCACAAAGCTCCAAATCCTACTCCTTAATGCTCTAGAGCTGAAGAAAGATTTCCTTCTTTCCACCTGAGAGTGGGATAGGAGCAATAATTTAGGTGGTTGTAGTTTTTATCTGCCCCTTGATGTTTAGATTTGAATGCCTAATCCACACTTCTTTTGCTGAGGGTGATATTAGGAGAATTCATGATTAGAGTATTCATGATTGGAAATGGCTTGATTGTACAAATTAGAAAATTCATGATTGGAAATGGCTTGATTGTACAGATTAACTGCATTGACTGGCTTGGGCATTGGAAGCTTCCTTTAACTGACTTTTCATCAGGTTAGCCAGCTCCAGAATTTAACAGCTGTGTTTAATACTGCTTAATATTTTTATACTTATGTTCACACCACACCATTAACTTGTGCTAATGCCAAACTAGAAAAAAAGTACGTTTCCTTTTGGACACTGATCAGTACTCAACCCTTTGGTTTGCTATCTGCCTGATAATTTTTGGAGGTGGGGGTGGTTCACAATAGCTAATTTTTCTCAGCCATTTTTCCTTTGGATAAAGTGTAGAATTAATTATGTGAATATTATGATTCTGATGGAGTCCTTGGTTTATTAACATTCCATTGGGAAATAAATGATTTTGGAGTCGTAATCTTTCTTATTTTCTTTTTATCATGTACTGTTTTTCAGCTTTTATAGCAGATTTGATTCACTTTATGGTAAACAGCCTGCTGGGCATGATGCTTTTCCAGATAGTAGGAGCCTTCTGCCTTTCTGATCACTCTGATTCTGATTCTTGGGAAGAGCAAGCTGAGTCAGACCTCACTGATAATGCTGTGGAAGATTAGATTCTTGATATGATGGGAAACCTTGGCTCCTTGAAAGCCTTGACGAAAACTTTTTTGTATTAGGAAAAAATAAAATCAAGTAGAAGCCCACATAAAAACTCTTTAATTTTTCTTTTCTCTTTCTTTCTTTCTTTTTTCTTTTCTTTTCTTTTCCTTTCTTTCTTTCTTTCTTTCTTTCTTTCTTTCTTTCTTTCTTTCTTTCTTTTCTTTCTTTTCTTTCCTTTCTTTCCCTTCCTTCCTTCCTTCCTTCCTTCCTTCCTTCCTTCCTTCCTTCTTTCTTTCTTTCTTTCTTTCTTTCTTTCTTTCTTTCTTTCTTTCTTTCTTTCTTTCTTTCTTTCTTTCTTTCTTTCTTTCTTTCTTCTTTCTTTCTTTCGTTTTTTGCCATGGCTTTAATATGTACATATAGTTTGACATCATTGTAATTCTTACCAGAACATACTCAGAGCTAAATATATACTCTTATTTCCATATTTCAAGAAAGACTTTTCTTTTTCTCCCCTCAAACCTCTCTTTTAGACAATGAAACACATTTAATAATTGTCAGATTATTAAGATCTATTGTATTCTTCATTACAAGGCCAGATTTCATAGGTGCATAAAAAATCACCTATACATGAATCTATTTTTTAATTGAGACATTTTTTAAACCATGCATGTGGAAGAATATGATATAGCATGCATTTATGCATGCATTTTGAAAACCAGCTTGAGAATTTTACTTCCTTTTAGTTAGCAGTAGACCAAAAGAGAATGTTGCTTCTGCTCTAACAAAGAGAGTAAACTAGGTAGGCTACAAAGTCATAATTTATTTTGAGCTTGTTAGAACTGAAGTTACAAGGTGAGCAGGTAAACTGAATTTTAGCACTTTGGGAGGCTGAGGTGGGTGGATCCCGAGGTCAGGAGATCTGGGCCATCCTGGCTAACATGGTGAAACCCCGTCTCTCTACTAAAAATACAAAAAATTAGCTGGGTGTGGTGGCAGGCGCCTGTAGTCCCACCTACTCGGGAGGCTGAGGCAGGAGAATGGTGTGAACCCAGGAGGTGGAGCTTGCAGTGAGCCGAGATGGGGCCACTGCACTCCAGCCTGGGTGACAGAGCGAGACTCCATATCAAAAAAAAAAAAAAAAATTACAAGCCTTTCCAAATAGGAGACATGAATTGTTTCATCTGTGGCAGAACTCCAGAAGAGTTCTCTGGCATTTCAGTAGGTAACAAGAAAATGGCTGAAATTTTAACAAATTCTTACAAAGGTTGAGTGTAGTTTAATGTGACAGTTTAGAATACCTGGGAGCCCCAGACACAGGAGTGGTCTGTAATTGCCAGCTTTTCCCCTTGGGCTTCTACCGAATGCTTACTGGAAAGGTTGAGGACAGACAGGAAACCTAGGAAAGTTCCTTTATGGTACACGGTATAGGAGGCAGAATAATGGCTTTCCCAAAGATGTCTATGACTTAATCTTTGGAACTAGTTAATATGTTACATTATATGGCATGGAGATTTTGCAAATGTGATTATTGGTATGCACCTTGAGATGGGAGATTATCCCATATTATTTAGGTGGGTTCAGTCTAATCATATGAGCCCTTAAAAACAGATTATTTCTTAACTAGGGTTAGAGAGATGCAACACTTCTGACTTTGAAGATGAAGGAGGCCCCAAACCAAGGTCTGCAGGTAGTTTCTAGAAGCTGGGAATGGCAAGGAAATGGATTCCTTCCTAGAGCCTCCAGAAAGCAATGCAGCCTTGCTGACACCTTGATTTTAGCTTAGTAAGACAAATACCAGACTTCTGATCTGTAGAACTGTTAAGATAATTTTGTAGTATTTAAGCCACTAAATTTATGATAATTTGTTTTAGCAGCAGTGCAAATCTAAAACAAATGGGAACAAAATCTTCTTAAGTTTTAAAGTGGAGTAATAGAAACTGGAGAAGCCCATTTACACTGGACCCTGCATGAGTAAAAGGTGGTTGTTGGCCAGTGCTAGGGGACAGGCAAGAAAACTACACATGTTCTGGATCTTTATTATGCAAAATCTGCCTGCTGCTGAGTGAGGGGCAGGGAATACACTGTAACCTGGACCCTACTCTGATATTGGGCAATAGCTGATTGGCACAAGGAGTGGGGTAAGAAACCTGCCTGCACTCCTAGGTCTGTATTAATACATATTAGAAGTCTGTTGTCACAGGGGAAGTCCAGGAAACTCACTTGCTCTGGGCTGCATGCTGGCTAAACAGAAAGGATCTGCCAGTGAAGGAAGGCAGAAAACCCACCAATCCTGGACTCTGCATGAACACCAGGAAAAACCCATTTGCTGCAGGAAGGGGGCAGTTAACCTGATGATATCAAGACCCTCCACTGATACAAGACATTGATTGACTGACACTCAAGGAGGGGCAGGAAGATTGCCTGACTTGGACTCCCATGCTGACACTGGGTGAAAGCCATCTGTTGCTACTGGAGGAGGGGGAGAAAACCGGCTTTCAGCCAGGATCCTTCACTGATTTTAGGCAGTTTTTCTTGTTGTGGGAGTGGTAGGAGCATTAAAAAAGTCCCACGTCTGAGGCAAAGGTACGTAGACAGGGGCAGTTGCTAGAGAAGAACAAAGAGCTCCCATTGCCCCACCATGAACTTTTCTCTGATTAACAAGCAATGCCACTATACTGGGAGAGGGACACAAGTGTAGAAAGAGCCTTCTCTATAGTGCATGTGTGGACTCTTGAAGCTGAGCACAAACACTGAGAATCCCTTTGGCACTCCAGTCTTCCCCAAAACACAAGTTACTGGCATTCCACCACTGGAGCCATTTGAATCTAAATACAGATAAACTACAGATTGGATTGATACAATTTCACACACTTAGTAGTCTGACAGAATAAGAAGGCAGCCCATTTTTGAGGGGTAATATTTATCTCAGGATTTACTGTAAATATGTATACACACATACAAAAACCCAGGCATTGTTAAGAGAAAATAATGGCCCAGAGGTTGAAATTATCAGACAGAACCTTTAAAAATAATTATGATTAATGTGTTAAAATTCTAGTGGAAAAGATAAATAACATGCTCAGGAAATTTTAGCAGAGAGATAGAAACTATATAAGAAGCTCAAATGAAAATGCTAGAAATGAAAAGCAGTATTGGAGGTGAAAGATTCCTTTGGCAATTTATCAACAGACTGGAGATGGCAGAGGCAGAATCAGTAATATTGAAGGCAGATTACTATATATTATTCAAACAGAAAAATGAAAGAGAGGGAGAAAAGGAGAGAAGAGATGGAGGAAAAAATTGGGAAGACTGGCAATACTAATTTGTGAGGATAGGGGGCAACTAGAATCCTCATACATTACTGGTGGAGATGCAAAGTGGCAAAGCCTCTTTGGTTGAGTTTGATAGTTTCTTATGAAGTAAAAAATACCATGAAACCCAGCAATTCTTAAGAGAAATGAGAACATACCCGTAAAATTGAATACTACTCAGCAACAAAAAAGAATAAATCACTTTTACATGCAACAACAAATGACTCTAAACATTCTACCAAGTGAAAGAAAGGTTCAAACATGATACCATTTTCTCTTCTACAAAGAGAAAAATATAGTGACAGAAAACAGATCAGTGATAGCCAAAGGCCTGAGGTAGAATGCACTGCAAAGGGGTCTAGGAATGTCAAGGATGTTTTTGGGGGTGATGGAAATGTTCTATATCTTGATTGTGGTAGTTAATCTGTATAATTTGCCAAAAGTAAACTGTATAATTAAAACGGTTTTTCATATAATTTATAAAAATTATATTTCAGTAAAGCTGATTTACAAAAAGAAGCATTTTTTTTTTTGAGAAGCCTCAGACCACATTAGGTAGAAAACAAGACATTTTAGATGTTCTGAGTTAGAAGAAGTTTAATCAGGGAGTTAGACACTATACAAACATTAGAAGGCTTTGGGGGAAGTGAGACTAATTCTGGAGGGTTACTTTCAGGAATCCAGAATTGTAGGGGTTGTACATGAAGGCAATAACATTTGTGTCAGCTACTTGCATCCTCTATGCAGGCTACTGTATTAGTCAGGGATCTCCAAATAAACAGATCCAACAGAATCATAATTATGAGCCAATTTTCATAATAAACATGTGTAAAAAGGGATTCATTATAGGGATTGGCTCAATTGATTATGGAGGCTGAGAAGTCCCATGATACAACCAGTGGTGTAGTCTTGAGGCCAAAGGCCTGAGAATCAGGGGCTCTGATGTCCAAGGGCAGGAGGAGATGGATGTCTCCACTCAAGAAGAGAGTATATTTGCCCTTCCTCCAGCTTTTTGTTCTATTAGGGCCCTCATCAGATTGGTTGATGCCTACCTACATTGGTGAGGGCAGATCTTTACTCGGTCTACAGATTCCAATGCTCATCTCTTCTAGAAACACCTTTACAGAGGCACCCAGAAATAATGTTTTACCAGTTATACGGGTATTCTTTAACCCAGTCAAGTTGATATGTAAAATTAACCATCACAGCTACTGATGATATCAGGTGCCTCTGGCCTCAAAGTGGGTGATTCCTAGGAGTATATTTGTAGCTATCCAACCCTTATGCTTGTAGTCTGTAGATACCTAAGTGCCAGTCTAGATTGCTGCCCAAGAAATAATAGCTTTACCTCAAAGTGTCTTTTTTTAAGGGGGAATTTAATTGACCATGGGGTCTGGGAAATGTTATTCCAGCTTCTTTTTTATGTCCCTGTGGCAAATGTGAGATTTTAGAAACTTGGGGATGGTATATGGTAGAGTAAAAAATCTGATACACACATTGTATCTAGATGCTTAGCTTTGAATCTGCTTCTGCAGACTTTGTAATGATTCTCTGATACACTTTAATAAATGTCTTTTGTGCTTAAACTACCAGAATAGATTTTAAAAATAAGTTCATGTTGATATTTCCAATTCAGATTTTATATTCTTACTTCTTTTTTTCTCATGCTGAAAATCTTGGTCCGTAACCACACAACATTCACATAATTAATTGTGTGCATCAGCGCATATAATAGTTTCAAACTAACAGTACTCAGATTAGATTATTCTAACAGCTTAATTATTAAAACACTTTCAGATTTATCTTAGCATATATCCTTCTGGAGATAAAAAAACTATGTTGTAGGATCATTTGAAACAATTCCTCTTTTAGTTAAATCATCCATCAGACAGGTTCATTTGTTTTTATTTTTATTTTTCAGGATTAATATTCCTTTATTTTAATTTTTAGTGATTATTTAATAAATGTTCATGGTACCAGGGGTAAAACTTCAAAACAAAATGTATTCAGAGAAGCCTAGCTTCTTTCCTGTCATATGCTCTGTGTTTCCTTTCCTATAGGTAACCAATTTTTTTTCCTTTTTTAATTGCTTTTAAAAATTTAAGATATGGAAGGGGCCATGCTAATATTCTCTGTAATTGTTCCAACTTTAGTATATGTGCTGCTGAAGTGAACACTATACGTAACCATTTTTTAAAGTCAGCTTTTGACAATACCATTCTTAAACAATATAGAACATACTACACACATTGTTCTGCATTTTTCCTTTTAAAATAATTTAATAATTAGGTATCACTTCATAGTACTATATAGCAATCTTTCTCATTTCTTTTTACAGCTGAATAGTGTTCCATGTATCCCTTCTCTCTGCAATTATTGATTGACTCAGGCTAAAGAAGTCTTCGCAAATATTAACACATTTTTCCATGGTTGCCCAGGGGGTATTCTTCATTACAAGTGTGCATGTGTATTTATGTGTGTGTTTGGGGTGAGGCTGTATTTGTTGGGGACATAGAGTTTTCACACATCACTTCTCAAGCTCCAGTGGCAAGAACTCAGACACTGGGTCACACCCAACTGCATGGGATCCTGGGAAATGTAGTCTCATGTGTGCTCAGGAAGAGGAGAACAAGGATTTTGGTCAGCAACACAGTACCTGCCACAGACTTCATGCCTATTTTTAAATCACCATATGTACCCTTCTTCCCACATATAGAACACACTTATGCTCCTTTCCTGGGGATGCATTAAAGTCTTATGTTACATCAGCTTAAAGTTCAGGGCTTCTGAGTGATAGACAGTTCTGTTTACCACTTCCAAATGTAGTCCCTCATGGTCTGGGAATAAATGAAAACAAAAAACACAAGATATATATATCTTCACTTCAAAGTATAAAGTGGATGATTAGGGGCAGGCTGACTGGCAACAATAAACTCCTCCCATTTAGAAAGAAAACAGGAGGAATACAATGGTAGATTGGCCATAGCAGTGACAAACCTTCCTTGATAGGCTATGTGGAGTCGCCTGCCCTGGATTTACAGGGAAGTTCCTGATTAGTCCCTGTGTCTGGACTCTGGGAGAAACTCCCTTATCCATCATTTTCTGAGGATCCTGGCTTTACCCTCTGGATGTTCTTCATTATTATCCTCCTTGGCTGCATCTGAAAAGGATGATGAGAAGGGTACCTTCCTGGAGAAGGTACGTATTTCAAGTCTTTTCAATAATGCAAGTTTGGAAGCCAGAGAGTCATTTTAATATCACATATTTAATTAAATCACTCATAATTTATTTGACAAATGCAATATCCTCAGCAACATATAAAGTTTTTAATCTACTTGCTTCTGGTCAGTTCCATCTTACCCTACAAAAATTTCCAAAATGGTTGTCCTTACACAAATGTTTCATGTCTGTATAAATAAGAAAATAGATAAACATTTTTCCCTTACTTATCCCAGGCCTCTTTCTTTCACTTTGGTGGCAGTTATCTTGAAGGCATTCGAAACAATGGTCTCTATGTTTAATTGAAAAGTCTTAATGGGCCTCTTAATTTTTTTTTCAGTCTCACTTATTGCTGTTTGATACCCCAAACCGGTGAGATTTTATACCCCTCTGAAACCTTAGATTTCTGAACTCTCTCTTGCTCTTAATTCTTATTTGCAAACCAGTCAATTCTTTTCCTTTCTCATCTTCTCATAATATCTTGCTAAAATATTTTGGAGAACAACCCTGGCACACCGTTTTGACTTTCATCAACCACTTCCCCTAGGGCCAGAGACTCATTAAACATGGCCTTCTTCTAAGTTATTGCATATAATGTTTTTAAAAAGTTTGCTTATACACCACATGTGCCATCGTGTTGCCAGTCTCCAAGATCTGTTCCTTCACTATCCAAATCCTCTAAACAAATTCTCCCACTTTCAGTTCCAATTTCTGTGTTAGACTGGGTAGACAAACTGCATCACAAATAGCTCCAAAATGTAAAACGTTTCAAACAATATGATTTAATTTTGTTCTTTTAATGGTACTGATATGTCTGAGTAACCTTCCCTATGTAGTTATTCACTAAAATAGGCTGATCACTTGGTGACCTTTAACACATAGCTTCCAAGATTGCCTTGGGGTCACCTTATTCCAGGCAGCCAGGAGCAGAAAAGGTGCATGGAGGAGGATGCATGGCAAATTTTTATGGGACGGGCCTGGAAGTAGTGCACATAATTTCCACTCACATTACATTGTTCAGCTTTTAGTCACATTGCATCTGTAAGAGAGGCTTGGAAATATAGTCTATATGCTTAGAAAAAAGAGTAGAACATGAAATTTAGGACATGGAAGTTGGAGAGTGCATTTTGCTTAAAATAGCCATACAAATGTGAAACAAAAAAGTTCCTGCCTATAGATGCATGGTATAGCTTGTTTATGTCACTTTTGTAGTTTGAAAGTGCCCTTAAACCTGTCTTGAATATTAGTTCTTTTCTTCTTTTTCATAAATTCTAAAGAATTCCAGGGCCAGGCGTGGTGGCTCACACCTGTAATCCCAGCACTTTTGGAGGCTGAGGCAGGAGGATCACGAGGTCAGGAGTTTGAGACCAGCCTGCCTGGCCAATATGGTGAAACCCCGTCTCTACTGAAAATACAAAAATCAGCTGGGCGTGGTGGTGCTCGCCTATAGTCCCAGCTACTCGGGAGGCTGAGGCAGAAGGATCGCTTGAACCTGGGAGGCGGAGGTTGCAGTGAGCTGAGATTGTGCCACTGCAGTACAGCCTGTGTGATGGAGTCTCACTCTGTCTCAAAAAAACAAACAAACAAACAAACAAACAAAAATTCCAGTTCAAACTGAATGTCCCTAACCTCAGAGAACTATAGTCAATTCTTCACTGAAGCATTTGTATCTTCCTCGTCTTTAATTCTGGTATATTTTGTTTATTCTTTTTAGCTCCTGTAACATTGCATACAAATTATTTATATTAATAGTTTTAGGACTTGGGTGAAATTCTTGAATTATGAATAATTTTAGGGACTTATTTCTATAAATCATATTGCATCAACAAAAATGCTTGGTATGTAGAAGGATGTTACTGAATGAGAGACAAATAATTACTGAAATAAATGTTATTTCTAACAATTTCTATTCAAAATTTAAGATATTTGTATTCAAGTGGTATGGCTCAGGGGAGATGAAAATGCAAATTAGTGAAAAATGATCTCTCATTTTTGCATGTTTACATACTCGACTTCGCTTCTTTAGTCATTACCATGAATGGAAAATTGTGGCTGATGCTGAAGATAAATAGACATCATTAGTGTTTGTTCTAGAAATTATATAGTAGCTGACTGAAAGTGGTAAGAAAGGTATTCATGAAGCTTTGTATCTCTTAACAATTTGGTTTAGTACCGGAGTTACAATATAAATAGAACAAACTATTTTTTTCATGAAGATCTCTGAACATATATCTGAATTTGGCTATGCCTTCTGAAATTGTGATGAAAACATAGATAGAAAGCATCATAAATGCATGCCCATCTGCAACTGTTTGACTATAAAGCTGTCAGTGAAGTAGAATATCGGAAATATTTTCATAGAAATGTTCGTTGGAATTAATATTTTCTTTCTGGTGGTGGCAACAAGAGGACTTGTCTTAGGAATGCTGGGAAACGGGCTCATTGGACTGGTAAACTGCATTGAGTGGGCCAAGAGTTGGAAGGTCTCATCAGCTGATTTCATCCTCACCAGCTTGGCTATAGTCAGAATCATTCGACTGTATTTAATACTATTTGATTCATTTATAATGGTATTGTCCCCTCATCTATATACCATCCGTAAACTAGTAAAACTGTTTACTATTCTTTGGGCATTAATTAATCAGTTAAGTATCTAGTTTGCCACCTGCCTAAGCATTTTCTACTTGCTTAAGATAGCCAATTTCTCCCGCTTATTTTTTGCCTGGCTGAAGTGGAGAATGAACAGAGTGGTTCTTGTGCTTTTCCTGCGGTCTTTGTTCTTATCGTTTGTTTACCTTTTTATGTCCAATGCCATTAGTGAGTTGTGAAAAAAACATGACTTTGCACTCAGATACAAGTAAAATAGTCTGTCTTCAAGGCCTTAGGCTTCTCAGCTTGACATACGTTATTCCCTTTCTTCTGACTCTGACCTCTTTGCTCCTTTTATTTATATCCTTAGTGAGACACACCAAGAATTTGCAGCTCAACTCTCTGGGCTCAAGGGACTCCAGCACAGAGGCCCATAAAAGGGCCATGAAAATGGTGATAGCCTTCCTCCTCCTTTTTTTTATTAACTTTATTTCCACTTTAATAGGAGATTGGATCTTCCTTGAGGTAGAGAATTATCAGGTCATGACGTTTATTATGATGATTTTACTTGCCTTTCCCTCAGGCCACTCATTTATTATAATTTTGGGAAACAACAAGCTAAGACAGAGCTCCTTGAGACTACTGTGGCATCTTAAATTCTCTCTGAAAAAAGCAAAACCTTTAACTTCATAGACAAAATTTAACTTTCTGCATCTATGAAAGAAATAACTTAATAGAAGACCTCATAAGTTAATTTTATATTTAACAATTTCTTTTTTGGAGTCCTTTTAAGTGTTGTTAAATAATTCTGAAATTTTCCTTAAAATATTCACTAACCATATTTTCTCAAAGTTGCCGGACATAATGTCTGATTCAAGGAAATGTCTCTACTATAATAATGCCTGCTAATAACAATAGAGTATGTGAGACTTGGAGAAAAAGATAAACATTTATAATGGAATATAAATAAATGCACATATGATATACAAGGCAATATGAATAAATATATATAAAATCACAGAAAAAAGTGTAATGTAATTTTTTGAACAAAAAATTATAAATACAGTAGGGAAAAAATTATAAAATGTTAAGTATAATTAAGTAAGTTTGTTAAAGCATAATATATATCAGTGTAATGCTTGGATATGTTTGTGGATGTGTAGTGCTACTTTGACTACTGTAATAAAATAACCCAGATGTAATCACAGTAGCTGGGAATGTAATGAAGCAGTTAAGAGAATTTTGCTTGCAAATGATGTTACTAAAATATGAAATGAAGATCATGTATTATTTTAATAGAGGAAATGGATATGTCCATATGAAAGAAAAAAAACCCAGCACTGTTGTTTGAGGTAACTTTTACCATAATTTTAAAAATGGAATAAAGGGAAAAAATAGCTGGTAAATCATGGGAAGTATGTTGGTTTTATATTAGTCTTCATGAAGTAGTAGGTGAAAATATTCTTCCAGGTTAAGCCCTGATGCAGAGAATGGTGTAAGAATGATAAGGCCATAGGGAAGAATTGTTGTTTTCTCCAGACAAAATGAACTCTTCCATTCAGGAAATTAGAGTGAGGTCACATCTATCACATTTATCAGGTAGGGTTCTCTCATTTAGCTATTAATATCATCATCACCACCACCACCACTATCATCATCATATATTTCATTTAACTATTTGTTTTTTAAATGTTTACATGCACGATTTGGAGAATGTCTAGGTAATTTCCTAAAGATTATTATTGTGGGTAAGTTGCATTATTAAAGAGCAAGGCTTATGTGAAACTTAATACATTTAGAGTTAGAAGTTGAGTGTATTTTTACTTAAAATGCATTGCTTGAACAAATGATTTATAAATAATCTTAAACTCATCAGAGGCTAACTACCAGAAATATTTAGTTTTTAGTGTAAATAGCATTTGTATAATAAGAGAGATAAAGTCAATAAACCATTTTATAATTAAACTCTTATTTCAAAAGAGAGGCTTTAAAAGTCAATGAACCAAACAGAAATAAGCCCTCACATCTTCAATATCATACTCTCTTGATGATGGACTTGTAAGGCACAAAGCCCCATGTCTAACAGTGTAAGGAGAGTAAAAGGACTACTTAAATATTAAGCCATGTTATAAGATGGTGTTGCTGTGATTGATGTATTATCTTTTATTTATGGTAATGGCATTTTGAGATCAAGTTCTGCTCCTTGAATTTTCATGTAATAAGAGTCTGTGGTGAAGATGCAGCAACAGAGAAGCTGCTACTTGCATCAAATTTATTTTTAGTTCTTTTCAACTTGGTTAAGAATGATTAGACTCACACTTTTATTCTATTCTTGACCAAAGTGTGGGTAATCCCAGCACTTTGGGAGGCTGCGGCAGGCAGATCACGAGGTCAGGAGATCGAGACCATCCTGGCTAACATGGTGAAACCCCATCTCTACTAAAAATACAAAAAAATTAGCCGGGCATGGTGGCGGGTGCCTATAGACCCAGCTACTCGGGAGGCTGAGGCAGGAGACTGGTGTGAACCCAGGAGGCAGAGCTTGCAGTGAGCCAAGATCGCGCCACTGCACTCCAGCCTGGGTGACAGAGCAAGCCTGCGTCTAAAAAAAAAAAAAAAAAAAATTGGTGTTTTCTTTGACCAAAGTGTGGGTAAAAGAAGAGAATTATTGGTATTTTCTTGTCAAGTTTACTAAAAGTTTTTAAAAAATCTTTAAGAATTTGGTATTATGAGTATTTTATTTATCCATAGAAATAACTTACAGAAATAGAGTGAAAGTTTCTTTCTACCACCAAAATAATGACTGAAAAAATTAATATTAAGAATTCAATATTTAACAATCAATTAGATTTAACAATCAGTTAGAAATGGTAGAATAAAGAATTAGTGAATTGGAAGATAACTACACAGAGTGAAGCATAATTAGACAAAGAGATGGAAAAATACAGGCTAAAGGGGAAGAGCATTGAGGCTACAGTCAGAAAGGCTTAACATACTTTTGGAGTTCTGGAAGATTAGAAGAGAGAATGTAGGGAAGAAGTAATGTTGCTGAGACCTTTCCAAAAATAATAAAATGTATCAATCCATACATTCGAGAAACCAACAAACCTCAGACAAGATAACTGAAAACAAATTAACATATAAATGCTACAGGAAACCAAAGACCAATAGAAAATTTGAAAAGTAGCCTGAGAAAAAAGATAGATTATGTTGAAAGGATCAACTGTTTGAATGACAACTGATTTTCAGCAGAAAGCATGGAAGCTAGAATTCAATGTAATATATTTTCAGTGCGTTTCAAAGGAGTAGCAGACATTTCATAAACAGAAATTCAAAAGGATACATTTTCAGATAGAAAAAAGTTACTGAAAATACAAAGTTGAAGATGCAAGAAGGAATGAAAATAAAGGCAATGGCAAATGTGCGTAACTAAAAGGACTATTGACTGTATAGAACAATAATATCTTGTGTTAAAAGAGGTAATGAATAAAATGTATGCCAATAACATATAGACTGGGGTGAAGGTGAAAAGATTAAATTTAGTTTAATTATTATTTAACCTTTTCATTGTCTGTGAAGAGAGTCTGAGTATCAAATTCAATGCATATACTCTAGCTATATATCCAAGAGAAGT
Organism: Homo sapiens; assembly: GCF_000001405.40. Taxonomy (NCBI): domain Eukaryota; kingdom Metazoa; phylum Chordata; class Mammalia; order Primates; family Hominidae; genus Homo; species Homo sapiens. The sequence goes on along the minus strand of NW_003571050.1, from coordinate 386,488 downwards.
GCATTGAATGACATGTAAAATAATGCCCATGGTAGTATTATTTGTAATTGTTCTAAAAAGAAACAGCTCAAATACCTATAAATTAAGGAAGGATTAATAATTATAGCAAATTCATATAATGGAACAATATAGAGAAATTGAAAGCAATGAACCACATGTACATGCAACAAAGTGGATACATTTTATCAACATAATGCTTAAAAAAAGAAGTCATAAACAAGAAGAAAATATATTAAGGTTGTATTTATAAAGAGTTCAAAAATGAGGCAAACTCAAATCAATTTCTGCAATAAACGAATCATCTTGAAAATTGTATTTACAACTTCACAACTTCCTGTGTTAAAGTCAGGAAATTTTCTTTCTATATGTCACATAAAATTCTAGTTTTGATTTTTAACAACTGACCTAATTGGTTTCTAATGTTCTAGAAAAGACTTATAATCATTTTTCCAGGTTTCTGTACCTTCTCTGGTTCTCTGGTTTTCAAGTGAGAAAAGCTACACCTAAGCACCCCCATGAATTATACTGGAAAGTTTTCCACCTCTCTTTTTTGAGCAGAGATTTAGGAAAGTTGGCATTTGGATCCAAGTGACCCAAGCTTTAGGGCAGAATGAAAATTGCAAATCAGTGCAAGTTACTTTTTCTCCTATTTGCATGTAATCAAAGTTGAATCCAGCCCTTCAATCAAAATTACAGATCGAGTGTTACTGCCTGGGATTGGCAGAACTGTTTGATAGGAATGAAAATGTTTTTATGTTAATATAAAATTTGTGCCCACATGTATGAAGGATTTTTCTATTAAAACTCTACAATTAAGCAGAAGATGTGACACACTGCAAGAAATATGGCACCATGAAACTAACTACAACTGTATACTATTGGGGCTCAGAAAATGATACTGAAAATATATCGCTCTTTGACTAAACAGGAAGCCTCAAATTCTCTGTCTGAAGTTTTCCCTTCTGTCTGTGTCTCTGATCCTCTTTCCTGAAGCACCAGAGGGAATTCTCTCTGGAATTTCCTTATCTGATTAAGAAAATTTCTTTCCAGAAGAAATGCAATTTTTAAAAGACTCCTTGTCTAGGAATCTCATCAAATGACCAGGATAAGATACTGGATCAAATAACCACTGGATAAGATACTTGGAGTTGTCAATATGCCTAGACAGACTTTTCAGTTGTTCTTTTGAAGGCAGCTCCAAGAGATTCCCTGGGTGACTTCATCTGCATAATAAGACAACCTTTGTTCACAGTGAAGTTCTGGCCCTAACCTTCCCTCCACCTCCCCTAGAGCTCAGAGGAAATTTGTCCTAGGCCATTGCTCTTTAGATTATGCATTTCCTCTGGAAATCATTTATTCTTACATCCCTTGCTTTCCTCTCCCCAATTAAGAGTATACTTAAGAGTCAATTGTCTGGCCCCTGCTTTGGGTCTCATACTTGGTATATGGCTGTCATTTATATATGCACATTAATAAAAACTTGTGTTTTCTCTTATTTATCTATTGTCAGTTTATTTTCAATGAACCCTCAGAGCAGATGAAAACTTTCTCTTGGCTTCTTACAATACTTGATTCTCTTTTAATGTATTTCAGTTGAATTGGAGTATATGCTACTGATGGGAGAATTAAAAGAATTATTGATAAAAAACATTTTGGCATTGTTTGATTGTATCCGTAAACTGCCAAAGTTGGCTGATGTATCATAAGATTTATTTGAGTGACTTTATTCTAACAAATTTGTCTCCAGTATTGAGTATGTTGAATACTATATACTATTTTTCAAAACTCAAAAATATTTTATACTATTTTTAAATATTACTTCTTTATTTCAATATTAAAGTAGAAAAAACATTCCACTATTTTGCTCTGGACACAAACCACTTGTTTCGCTCTCTTGTTTGCCATTTTTTTGGGGGTAATATCTGTTAGTGAGCTCATAATATTTATCATAATTCACATTATATGTATTATATTGTTATATCTACCCATTCATAAGATCCATTTCTACTCATATATCTCAGGTGTGTGTTGGTATAAAATTCACAAAATCTTACAAGTCTTTTGGTCTGAATTTTACTTTGTCCTGTATCACATTTTGTATCTTGTCATTTGGGGCCTGCTGGGAATTGAGTGTTATCATATATTTAAACATAAGAGGAGGCAGGGATATATATAGAGTGGTATCAGCATTCCTCTGTAAGCCAAACAGCTCAAGGTAACTCATTACAGGTTTTTAAGGCAAGGGAAGGAAGACTAACCTTCTCAGCGAGGGGAGGAAGAGTGCATCTCCTGGCAACGGTGCACCAGCAGAATTTAGGGGTTCAAGATCCTCCAGATTCTTTGGGATCTGCCATTACAGGCCCACCCCAATTTTTAAGTTCCTATTTCTTTTTTAGCAAATTTCCTGACTTTAACACAGGAAGTTGTGAAGTTGTAAATACAATTTTCAAGATGATTTATTTATTGCAGAAATTGATTTGAGTTTGCTTTTCAGAAATTTTAGTACTTCTGCTATAGGAGATAAGGACTTTTTTGAAGACAGTCGTAGGAATGTTATGTTAGTTTACATAATCCGAAGCTAGTAATTCAAAGCCTTAAGTTCATAATTTTTCTTTCTCCAAGTTTTCTAGCACACTTATAAGTCAGCAACGAACCCTATTCTACTTATGTTCACTAAAATGTTCTATGGCAGCCTCACTCAATGTCTTGTCTTCTATAGGAACTTGATTATAAGTTATTTTGTAAGTGATCATCTATGGACAATAATTTAAATAACTGTTGTGTCACCGCATGCCAGGGATTGCCAGTGTCTCCTTTACCGTTGGAAACAGGGTCATGAATACCCTTAAATCTAATTATATGAGACAACTAATACCAGACAACTCCTACCTAGACTTGGAATTTGATTCTGTCATGATCCACAGTCTCATTCTGAGTCTCAGGCAGAAGGGGCAGCTGTACTTGAAGTGTAGCTGTGGCTATTCTCATGGTGATCATCAAAATACAAGAAGGCCCAGACAAACTGATAATGCATTTTTAAGATCTCTGCTCATATACATTCTGCTAATATTCTAAAGCAATTCACAGACAAGTACAACATTAATGGGCATGGAAATTATACTTTGCCCACAGTGGGAGAGCACAGCAAAGTTACATGCAAAGGCTGTGAGTAATACTATTAAAGGGAATAAATAATTGGGGCTAAAAATCCAATCTACTGTCATCTCCCAAGCTGAACTTTCTTAACCATAGATGTCAATAAACATAAAAGTGGAGAATAGTTAAAACTAAAATATAGTACAGATAAGTGATAAAACAAAAATAAATTGATCTTGAGAGAAGAGAAATTTTCTTCTATAAAAATATTAAAACAGTTTTGTGATAAAAATAAAAAATTCTAATGTGCAATTTTCTAAAAAGTATAGATTATCAAAATTTTCTTGTGAAGAAATACTCTTGCATATGTCAAAAATAATGAAAGAAATTTTCTTGTATTATTATACTATCTCACAAATTATCTTTTCCAAAAGAGTTGTAGGTTATATTTAAAATTTTATTTATAATAAACATCACACACCGGGGCCTGTTGTGGGGTGGGGGGAGGGGGGAGGGATAGCATTAGGAGATATACCTAATGCTAAATGACGAGTTAATGGGTGCTGCACACCAACATGGCACATGTATACATATGTAACAAACCTGTACGTTGTGCACATGTACCCTAAAACTTAAAGTATAATAATAATTAAAAAAAGAAGAAAGAAAATGGAAAAAGAAAAATAAAGAAAAACATTAAGTTATTTAAAAATCTAAACACCCGACTGTAAAAATAATACCTATGTATTATTGCTATATTATAAAATTTTAGATCTGGCTACCATCATGAAAAAAAAAATATGACATACCAAAGAAATGCTGATTCCAGAAATGTGAAGATGGTTTAACCCATGGTAATATATTATGATAATCAACTCACTAATAGATTTAAGAGGGAAATAATATGTTTATAAAATAGTTGTGAACACACTCTTTAAATAAATTTAGTACCCAATTATAATAGAAAATTTAACCAACTAAAGAAAGACTTTCTTTCCCTAATATAATTTATCCCCTAAACAACTACAGGCAATCTTGTAACAAATGCTTATCATATTATGAGTTCCACAGAAAAGAGGCTTGAAGTAATCTTGTATCCTAGTAATTTATTTGAGCCTGCATTACCATGGAAGCAGGAATGGAAGTAAAGGATGAGTTAGGCAAAAAAAGGAAGAGAGCAAATACAAGACATATTTAGCTGGCTGTCACTTCATAATCACAGTTGATTTCTTCGTATGTGTTTAAAAGGAGACTGTGAAATTTCTGTCTCTATCCAAGGGAAGAAATAAAAAGAATGTATATATTGGCTCTCATCTTTCATTGGTCAGAGTTTCCAGGGAGTCCCCTCTGTGCATTTCTCAACTATATTTTCTAGCCTCTCTAACCAGCCCCTGGTGTAGCAAGATCCCGAGAGAGCAGCAACAGCACTTATGGCATAAGCAGGGCACATTGAAAAAAAAAAAAAGCAAGGATGACCAGCAGTCTGTTTTTGGCCAGCAGCCTGCAACTTCGTGTGCATTTGTGTGGATGTTGACAGACTCTTGCAGGTTCTCACACTTCAGCTGCTGCAGGTAAATCCCAAGACAGGAAAAGAGAGGTGGGTAGTATCAGGCTTAATGACTGAGGGGAAATGCAGTCAGGCTGCACTCATCTCCTTGGAGCAGCTTCAAGCAGGGTCCAGCCAGCCCAGCAAGAGGCAGAGTATCAGAATGATATGACTCCAGTTTCAAAGGCCTGTCACAGCTCAGTGAGACTCCTCAAAAGAGAAACCACCTCTCTGACATCTTTAAGAACACAGTTGGCAAAAAACAAAACAAACCAATGAAACCTATAGAAAGTGTTTCTGGGCAATATATAATGGAGTCTGGTATAGAGGATCAATACAAAAATATTTTCACTGATATCTTTTTTCATTATTATTATACTTTAAGTTTTAGGGTACATGTGCACAATGTGCAGGTAAGTTACATATGTATACATGAGCCATGCTGGTGTGCTGCACCCATTAACTCGTCATTTAGCATTAGGTATATCTCCTAATGCTATCCCTTCCCCTTCCCCCAACCCCACAACTGTCCCCAGAATGTGATGTTCCCCTTCCTGTGTCCATGTGTTCTCATTGTTCAATTCCCACCTATGAGTGAGAACATGCAGTGTTTGGTTTTTTGTCCTTGCCATAGTTTACTGAGAATGATGATTTCCAATTTCATCCATGTCCCTACAGAGGACATGAACTCATCATTTTTTATGGCTGCTTAGTATTCCATGGTGTATATGTGCCACATTTTCTTAATCCAGTCTATCATTGTTGGACATTTGGATTGGTTCCAAGTCTTTGCTATTGTGAATAGTGCTGCAATAAACATACGTGTGCATGTGTCTTTATAGCAGCATGATTTATAGTCCTTTGGGTTTATACCCAGTAATGGGATGGCTGGGTCAAATGGTATTTCTAGCTCTAGATCCCTGAGGAATCGCCACACTGACTTCCACAATGGTTGAACTAGTTTACAGTCCCACCAACAGTGTAAAAGTGTTCCTATTTCTCCACATCCTCTCCAGCACCTGTTGTTTCCTGACTTTTTAGTGATTGCCATTCTAACTGGTGTGAGATGGTATCTCACTGTGGTTTTGATTTGCATTTCTCTGATGGCCAGTGATGATGAGCATTTTTTCATGTGTTTTTTGGCTGCATAAATGTCTTCTTTTGAGAAGTGTCTGTTCATGTCCTTTGCCCACTTTTTGATGGGGTTGTCTGTTTTTTTCTTGTAAATTTGTTTGAGTTCATTGTAGATTCTGGATATTAGCCCTTTGTCAGATGAGTAGGTTGCGAAAATTTTCTCCCATTCTGTAGGTTGCCTGTTCACTCTGATGGTAGTTTCTTTTGCTGTGCAGAAGCTCTTGAGTTTAATGAGATCCCATTTGTCAATTTTGTCTTTTGTTGCCATTGCTTTTGGTGTTTTAGACATGAAGTCCTTGCCCATGCCTATGTCCTGAATGGTAATGCCTAGGTTTTCTTCTAGGGTTTTTATGGTTTTAGGTCTAATGTTTAAGTCTTTAATCCATCTTGAATTAATTTTTGTATAAGGTGTAAGGAAGGGATCCAGTTTCAGCTTTCTACATATGGCTAGCCAGTTTTCCCAGCACCATTTATTAAATAGGGAATCCTTTCCCCATTGCTTGTTTTTCTCAGGTTTGTCAAAGATCAGATAGTTGTAGATATGCGGCGTTATTTCTGACGGCTCTGTTCTGTTCCATTGATCTATATCTCTGTTTTGGTACCAGTACCATGCTGTTTTGGTTACTGTAGCCTTGTAGTATAGTTTGAAGTCAGGTAGCGTGATGCCTCCAGCTTTGTTCTTTTGGCTTAGGATTGACTTGGCGAAAGCAAGAGCAAACACATTCAAAAGCTAGCAGAAGGCAAGAAATAACTAAAATCAGAGCAGAACTGAAGGAAATAGAGACACAAAGAACCTTTCAAAAAATTAATGAATCCAGGAGCTGGTTTTTTGAAAGGATCAACAAAATTGATAGACTGCTAGCAAGACTAATAAAGAAAAAAAGAGAGAAGAATCAAATAGACACAATAAAAAATAATAAAGGGGATATCACCACCGATCCCACAGAAATACAAACTACCATCAGAGAATACTACAAACACCTCTACGCAAATAAACTAGAAAATCTAGAAGAAATGGATAAATTCCTTGACACATACACTCTCCCAAGACTAAACCAGGAAGAAGTTGAGTCTCTGAATAGACCAATAACAGGATCTGAAATTGTGGCAATAATCAATAGCTTACCAACCAAAAAGAGTCCAGGACCAGATGGATTCACAGCCGAATTCTACCAGAGGTACAAGGAGGAACTGGTACCATTCCTTCTGAAACTATTCCAATCAATAGAAAAAGAGGGAATCCTCCCTAACTCATTTTATGAGGCCAGCATCATCCTGATACCAAAGCTGGGCAGAGACACAACCAAAAAGAGAATTTTAGACTAATATCCTTGATGAACATTGATGCAAAAATCCTCAATAAAATACTGGCAAACCGAATCCAGCAGCACATCAAAAAGCTTATCCACCATGATCAAGTGGGCTTCATCCCTGGGATGCAAGGCTGGTTCAATATATGCAAATCAATAAATGTAATCCAGCATATAAACAGAACCAAAGACAAAAACCACATGATTATCTCAATAGATGCAGAAAAGGCCTTTGACAAAATTCAACAACCTTCACGCTAAAAACTCTCAATAAATTAGGTATTGATGGGACGTATCTCAAAATAATAAGAGCTATCTATGACAGACCCACAGCCAATATCATACTGAATGGGCAAAAACTGGAAGCATTCCCTTTGAAAACTGGCACAAGACAGGGATGCCCTCTCTCACCACTCCTATTCAACATAGTGTTGGAAGTTGTGACCAGGGCAATGAGGCAGGAGAAGGAAATAAAGGGTATTCAATTAGGAAAAGAGGAAGTCAAATTGTCCCTGTTTGCAGACGACATGATTGTATATCTAGAAAATCCCATTGTCTCAGCCCAAAATCTCGTTAAGCTGATAAGCAACTTCAGCAAAGTCTCAGGATACAAAATCAATGTACAAAAATCACAAGCATTCTTATACACCAATAACAGACAAACAGAGAGCCAAATCATGAGTGAACTCCCATTCACAATTGCTTCAAAGAGAATAAAATACCTAGGAGTCCAACTTACAAGGGATGTGAAGGACCTCTTCAAGGAGAACTACAAACCACTGCTCAATGAAATAAAAGAGGATACAAACAAATGGAAGAACATTCCATGCTCATGGGTAGGAAGAATCAATATCGTGAAAATGGCCATACTGCCCAAGGTAATTTATAGATTCAATGCCATCCCCATCAAGCTAACAATGACTTTCTTCACAGAATTGGAAAACTACTTTAAAGTTCACTGATATCTTAAATAAGGCAGAAATGCTCTTTAACATCTGTAGAACTCAACATTGTTCTAGCACTTTTAGCTAATGTAATAGGACAAGCAATATAAACTCATCTAGGAACTGGAATGAGATAGACAAATTTACAGTATAATGATGTGATGATGTCACTGCTTAAATGAACACTCCTAAAGAATCAACAGGTACTATTAGCATAAGAAAAGATAACAAGGTTCTTCATATAACATCGATTTACCAAAAAACAGTGTATCTATTGCCAACAGTAAATTACAATATGTAAATTTAAAAAATTCTTTGGCCAGGTGTCATGGCTCATGTCTGTAATCCCAGCATGTTGGGAGGCCCAGGCAGGTGGATTCCTTGAGTCCAGGGGCTCGAGACCAGCCTGGGAAACCTGGTGAAACCCTGTCTCTACTAAAAATACAAAAATTAGCGGTGTGTGGTGGCACACACCTGTAGTCACAGCTACTCAGTAAGCTGAGGTGGGAGGATCTGATCTTGGGAGGCTGATGCTGCAGTGAGCCGAGATCGTGCCACTGCACTCCAGCCTGGGCAACTGGAGTGAGACATTGTTTCAAAAACAATACATGAAGAGATGTATCATGTTCATAGATAAACTGAGTATTATAAAATATAATTTCTTTCTAGATTAATATAGTCAATGCAAGTTGTGGCAAAGTCTTATTAAAGTTTTGTGAAAATTGTGAAAAATGACTTGAAAAATACATATAGAAAATTAACAGTTCGGAGATAGGCAAGAAAACTTGGAAAAAGAAGGAGGTAAGTTCTTTACTGGGTATCAAGATTTATTATAGTGTAATTATGAAAATTGAAAGAATTTTGGCACAGAAGGATGCAATAGACAACAAAAGGGAATAGTAAGGCAGAATATATTTAGGTAATTTACTTTTTGTGCACATGTAATTTGTCTTATAATAAGATTATCATTAGAAATTAGTAGATAAGATGTGTTTTTTGCAGTAAATTGTTTGGATAATGGACTTTTCATAAGGAGGAAAATCAGTGTGTAACTTGTATCACAAAAAATAGTCCAAAAGGACTAAGATCTAAACATTAAGAACAAAATTTAAAGCTAAGAAAAATGTAAATTATTTTATAAATTCAGGGTAGGTGAGGATTTTATCTGAAAGATACAAAAACCACGAAACATAAAGGAAAAGTTTGATAAGTTTTAAATTCCTTGGAAAGATCTGTTAATTAATCCAGCTAAGTTAGCTGTCTGACTCTAGTCTAATTATACATCTAGGCATTTGATAATGAATACAGAAAGAGTATTAAAACTAGGAATATATGGATGAAATTAAAAATACTCATTTTACCTAATAAAAAAATCATGTTCTTAGATGACATTCTCATTGTTGTGATGACATCAATTCTTGCCAAATTCAGGTATACATGTAAGATGTTAAGGCAAATATTGCCATTTTTTTTCTCATTTAGAGTAGTTTATTATGCTAAGGGCCTGGGAAACACTTTAGATTCAGTAAAAAAACTACCTAGAAGAATAAAGCAGAATGAATACTAGAAAAAGACTGAAAGAAAAAAAATGTGTAAAGACGCACAGAATGAGGAACATCTGTTGGTAAAATATATTATAAAAATACTAAAAAGGTATCCAGATAGTAAAAAGCTCAGAAACATGAAAAATCTCTTTCACTACTGGTAGAAGCATATAGTAGGATATAGTCAAAGCGAATTTAGCATAAAAATACATACACTTTATATCTATGTATCTATGTACACATACTTTTTGATATGCATGTATAACTACATATTTCTGAAACGTTTCTAAAAATAATCATAAAATGATTACAGATATGCAAAAACAGTTATAGAGCTATGTATAGTTTGTTAACATTAAGATAAAAGCCTTAACATTTTTTATGCTTAAAAACATTATAATGCTTCATTATAGCAGAATACACATTTGTCATTAAAAGAGATATAGAGCAGAATTTCTCAGAGTTCAGCAGAATATTCATAGTTGTTACAAAAAAAAAGTTCTTAATTTTTAAATATTTTAGGCAATGCTGGCTTAAGCGACTTTAACCTTTTTGTTTGTTTTTAAATCATAAGCTTTCTGTATACTCTGTTAGTATGTAAAAGGAAGTGCTCTATGTGGAGTTTCCCAAATTTCCTTTTCTGTGAAATCCTTTTCTGTTTTAGAAAATACCTTTTAATTCTAACATTTTCAGGAATTTAATTTGAGAAATTCTAATATTGAGGGATTATGTATCAGTGAGGAACAATTTCATTTTTTAGAACATGTAGACTGGGTATGGTGGCTCACACCTGTAATCCTAGCACTTTGGGAGGCCAAGGAGGATAGATTATTTGAGGTCAGGAGTTTCAGACCATCCTAGCCAACATGGTGAAATCCCATCTCTACTAAAAATACAAAAATTAGCCATGCATGGTGTTATGTATCTGTAATCCCAGACACTCAGGAGGCTGAGGCAGGGAGAATCACTTGAACCTGAGAGGCAGAGGTTGCAGTGACCCGAGATTGCGCCACTGTATTCCAACCTGGGCAATGGGGCGAGACTCCGTTTCAAAGAAAACCAAAAACAAAAAACAAAACAAAAAAAGTATAGGCACATGTGTAGGTTCGGATGGAACAATAAACACTACAGAGTTTCGGGGGATTGTGGCAGATGGATGTGAGGCAGGACTAGATTGCAGCTCTAGACAGACCAGCATGTGGATGCTTGTATTGTGAATTTTAGCTACAAATCCACTGCAAGAACAAACCAGTAATCCCAAGAGGACCCACAGATCCTCTGAAGGAAGCAGAGTGCTCCTGCAGGACCCAGGAGACACCCAAATACAGTGACTTCCCCAACTGCAGGAGTAGGAAAGGGAGACCCTCCTCTTCTGAACACACACCACCACTGGAGAACTGAAGGTCTGTTTGCAGGAGAAGTTTCTGGCTTTACCTTGAGCTGAGTTAAGTTAGAGAGCTGAGTGAAATGCAGGGGTAGAGGAAGCAGGGCAGAAGGCCCTGGGAGCTCACTGGGTCCCCAAACAGCCGATTCCTGCCTGGCACCATAGTACTCCATCAGGAGGGTGGCCAGAGGAGCAGGGGGTAAAACCCCCCAGGCAGAAGAAATCTCTAGCTGAACTTTATAACAATTTGAACTGGTCAAGAAGCCTCCTGGCCAGAACTCGGGGGAGGATGTGAATCGGGCATGCAGACGTCACAGGCTGGGGAAGAACTAAAGCCCTTTTCTCTCATGGCTGGGAGGCAGATAGCCTTGGGCAAGTTTTCAAGCCCATTTTGCCCTCTGCCTGGAAATAGAATCGGTGCTGTCGGCTGGGAGGGGCATGGTGGGAGTGAGACCAGCCCTTCAGTTTGCATGGTTGCTGGGTGAGACCTGTGACTGTTGGCTTTCCCCCACTTTCCTGACAACCTGCAAGACTCAGCAGAGGCAGCCATAATCCTCCCAGGTACCCAACTCCAGTGACCTGGGAATCTCATCCCCATCCCCCACAGCAGCCACAGCAAGACCCACAGAAGGAGAGTCTGAGCTCAGACATGCCTAGCCCTGCCCCCACCTGATGGTCCTTCCCTATCCACCCTGGTAGTGGAAGACAAAGGGTATATAATTCTGGGAGATCTAGGGCCACACCCACTGCCAGTCCCTCACCACACTACTACAGCTGATGCTTTCTGGAAAGCACCACCTCCTGGTAGGAGGCCAACCAGCACAAAAATAGAGCATTAAACCACCAAAGCTAAGGACCCCCGTGGAGTCCATTGCACCCTCCATCACCTCAACTGGAACATGCACTGGTGTCCAAGGCTGAGAGTCCCATAAATTGTTCACATCACAGGACTCTGTGCAGACAACTCCCAGTACCAGCCTGGAGCCAGTAGACTTGCTAATAAGTTGTCATCTCCATCTATTACAGTATTTGCTCTAATCATATTTGACTTATATACGTGGGAGCTCCAGTGTTGAGTGCATATATATTTACAATTGTTATATCCTTTCGATGAGTTGACCCCTTTATATGTTGACCTTCTTTGTCGCTTCATAGTTTTTGTCTTGAAATCTATTTTGTCTAATATTAGTATAGCTATTCCTCTTTTTTTGGCTTCCATTGCCATGGAGTGTCTTTTTCCATCCCTTTATTTTCTATCTGTGCATGTCTGTATAGGCGAATTGTGTTTCTTATAGGCAACTGATTAGCTAGACTATGCCTTTTGATTGGAGAGTTTAGTCCATTTACATTCAATGTTATTATTGGTAGTAAGGACTTACTTCTGCCATTTTGTTATCTGTTTTCTGGTTATGTTGTGGTCTGCTCTTCTTTCTTTCCTTCCTATCTTTCTTTAGTGAAGGTTATTTTCTCTGGTGATATGATATAGTTTCTTGCTTTTTATTTTTTTGTGTGTATCCATTGTATTATGTTTTTTGATTTGCGATTACTATGAGGCTTGCAAATACTATCTTGTAACCCATTATTTCAAGCTGATAGCAACTTAGCACTGTTTGCATAAGCAAACAAACAAGCACAAACACTAAACAAATGAAGACTCTACACCTTAACACCATCTTCTCAGTTTTTAACTTTTTGTGTCACTATTTATATATCATTGTGCTGTCTATATCTTCAAAGGTTGCGGGAACTATTTTTTTTTTGTCAGTTCATGATTTAATTTTTGTACTTTAGCGAGGTTTACACACCACATTTACAGTGTTATACTAGTCTGTGTTTTTCTGTCTCCTTACTATTACCAGTGAGTTTTATAGCTTTAGGTGATTACATATTGCTCATTAATGCCCTTTTCTTTCTGATTGAAGTAATCCCTTTAACATTTCTTATAGGACAGATCTGGTGTTTATGAAATCCCTCAGCTTTTGTTGGTTTGGAAAAGTCTTTCTCTTTCATGTTTGAAGAATATTTTCTCCAGTAACACTATTCTGGGCTAAAAGTTTTTTCCTTCAGCACTTCTAATATGTCATGCCACTGTCTCCTGGCCTTTTTCCACTGAGAAGTCTGCTGCCAGATGTAGTGGAGCTCCATTGTACATTATTTGTTTCTTTTCTTTTGCTGCTTTAGAATCCTTTCTTTATCCTTGACCTTAGGGAAATTGATTATTAAATTCCTTGAGGTAGTCTTCTTCAATTTTACCTGGCATTGTTTGTTGAGAAAAACGATTAATTCCTTTCGAATTGCAATAGTACCTTTTTTTGAAAGCAATTGACCATGAATGTTGGTGTTAGTTTCTGGACTCTCAGTTGTGTTTCATTGTTCTTTTTGTCTACTGTAATGTGAGTTCTATAGAATCCTGATTAGGGCAGCTTTGAAGTAAGCTTTGAAATCAGAAAGTATAATCCTCCAAATTTCTTATTTTTTAACAATTTCTTTTTGTGATCTTGTCACTTGGCATTTCCAGATATATTTTAGGAGTGGTTTTCCAATTTCTGTGAAAAAAGTCTTCTGGGATTTGGTAGGGATTGCACTGAATATATATAAGTTGACTTTTCACCTATAAAGACTCTCCTTGTGCTGAATTTCAGTTCAGCTGGTCATCGTTGCTTGTACAACTCTGTGATGAATTGAAAATATAATTTTGGCCTTTTGTTTCTTTTATCCTAGTTGTTGGAGACGGATGTCATGCCTTTCTTAACCTTGTGTGTTCTGCTCAAAAATGGAGGTTCTCAGCCAGGTGTGGTTGTTCATGCCTGTATCCAAGCACTTTGGGAGGCCAAGATGAGGGGACCACTTGAGCACATGAGTTGAAGACCAGACTGGGCAACATAGGGAGACTCTTTGTCTCTATAAAAAAATAAAAAAAAATTATCTGGATGTTTTGGTGCATGCCTGTAGTCCCAGCTACTCCAGAAGGTGAGGTGGGAGGACCACTTGGGCCCAAAAGTTTGAGACTGCAGTGAGCTGTAATCAAGCCACTGCACTCCAGCCTGGGTGACAGAGCAAGACCCTGTCTCCCTCCCTCCACCCAAAACAAGGAAGTTCTCACTGGTATCTTTTATGTATCAAGTAACACATGATCATATGAAAAATTAATAATCCTTGATTCCTGCCTGTACCAGAAGGTAAAATTGAAAGCAGTTATACAAATAGTATATTAACTCCTCAGAAAGACTATCCAAAGAGAATATTATTATCATCTGTATTTTACAGATGATTATACCAAGGCATAGAGTAGTTGTAAAATGAGGTCTGTCTGGAGCATACCTATATGAAGCAGAAAATCTGGTTTCCTGTCTTGGCAGTCTGACTCCAAAATCCTCTCTTAGAAACAATTATACTGTAAAAATGAAAAATAAATAAAATCCAAGATTGGAGACTGATTTTAACATCTACTCATCTTAAACCATTAAGTAATCAAAAATAAATTAAGCAGAGGAAAACAAAACCAAATATTCATATAGAAAGAAGTCTAGACTCTTCAATGGAAAACGTGTTTTTCAAGTGACCCACAATAGTTACACAATTGCTGAGCATTTTAATTAAACAATAAATATTTAAGTATTAACTAGACTCAAGAGAATAACTTAGTGAAAGGCCTAAGCATGAGTGGTAAGTTTGATAAATATTGAAAATGGGTCAAAAAGCCCAAATGGGAAAATAGGGCTATTTCCACCTGGATGATCTCCCTAAAATTAATTTTCCATTTTGGAAATTATAGGACAATAATTCCTCCTATTCATGAGGGGTGAGTATGTGTGTATGTGTGTGAGTGTGTTTGTATTAATGAGCTTGTTAACAATAAGTTATACAAGTATTACTTAGTAGCAACCAGGTTTTAAGGACTATTGGCCTTTTTGAGGTTCCTAAGAAAACCTTGAATGCTTTTGGTAGGAAAAGTTGGGATTCACTCTACATATTACTGGCATTGAAAAAAAATAAATCTACTTTGGTGATGATCCTAGCTATCCTCAAGCTCCATTCACCAGGCTATACAACCAATGTGTCATATATGTATTGGGTTGTAAAATATCTCTAACAACTGAAGTTGCTGAAAACAAATTATGGAGAGGTGAAACAAGGAAAAAATTGCAGAACAATTAAAAAACTCTTCCTTGGCATGCTAGTATATGAGAATTCAGCTTTCACTTCAACATCAATATGGAAAATTTTACCTTACAGCAAGGATGTTGTGTTTGAATAGGAGTTAATTTGAGCTGTTTTGGAAATTATCATGTTTTCCATAAAGACAGCATTGATTTCATCCATTAGCATATTGAGATGATTTCCTCTTTGACGTTGGTCACAGAATTTAAAAGGAACAAGAACATTACTGCACATTCAGGAATCAGTTACACATAGAAGTTAAGGTCAGGACCTTAAAGGGAATCTTGACCAGTGATATTAGGCCTACTTTTTAAAACATTCAGACATGATAAATTTACTACCATTCATTTTTTCAATAACAGCAATGATATATTTATTTTTCCCATGGACACCTACATTAAGCTTGTTGTCTATTTTTATATTTCAACATTTTTGTCTTTGAGTCCTTTTAGGAGTTGTTAAACAATCCTGAAATTTCCCTTACAGTGCTGTTAACAATTATATTTTTTCAAAGTCCTTTGGCATAATGATTGATTAAAGGAAATATCTCCAGTATAATTACACTTGCTTATAAGAAAAGAGTATTTGAAACTTGAAGAAAAAAAGGTTAGACAAATTTATAATGAAATATAAATAAATATGTATAATATATAAGGCATTATTAATAAATGTATATGAAATAACTATCATAGAATGAAATTTATTGAAGTAAAAATACATTCTAAATTAGAATAGGAAAGAACTTGGAAACTATTGTTTAATAATATGTTATATAAATACAAAACTGTAAATATTACTCTTACGTTACTTATTTTGGAAAGGATATGAAACAATGGGAATTTTCATATTCTACTCCTAGGATGATAAATCTGTACCATCATTTTGGCTGAGTATGGCATTATCTGATTAAGATGAAGGATCACATCCTAAACCCAGTATTTACACTCTTATCCGAATACATATACATGCACATGCGTATCACTGAGTTTCAGTAGCTAAAGTTGAGAAGTACTTGGAATGTCTGTCAGTCCTCCAAATGGATAAACAAATTATGGCATACTTATACAATGGAATACTATACAGTGATCAAAATTAACAAAGAAGACTGACATGTTTACAACAGTATAATACAACAAAGGAAATGAACAAATTTGAGCTACATAGATAATAATACTCACAGATGTGAAAGGAATTATCAAGATGGAAAAATACATTTGGAATGATCTTTTACATAAAGTTTGGAAAAAAAATTTTTAATACATTGTAATTTGTTACATTGGTGATGAAACTCTACAGTGAAATATATGAATGATCATCATAACAATTGGGATAATCAGGAGGGAGGAAATAAAAGGGAAATATCAACAAGAAGACGTATATTGGGAGTATCTGGATTGCTGGCAAATTCTATTTTCTGACCAAGGTTTGGTAACATCAATGTTAATGTTATAATTTTTTCTTACTGTTTTTAGGTTTTATTACTCTCTGTATGTTATATTCCCCAATAAAAAAATGTTAAAAAAGCAAAAACATAAGTACATTTCTACGTATAAATTCAGGGTGATACAGCATATTCTCATAGATACCATTGTAATTAGAGTTTTTGCTGAATAAAGGAGAATAGAGCATTATGGTACTAAGAAATACAAGTTAAAATTTAAAACTTTTTTTATTTTGAGACAGGGTCTTGCTCTGTTGTCCAGGCTGGAGTGCACAAGTGCAATCGCGGCTCAATGCAACCTCTGCCACCCGGGCTGAAGTGATTCTCTCAGTTCAGCCTCCAGAGTAGCTAGGACAACAGGCGTGCACCACCACGCCCTGCTAATTTTTTCTATTTTTGGTAGAGATGGGATTTTGCCATGTTGCCCAAGCTGGTCTTGAACTCCTGTGCTCAGGCAATCCACCTGCCTCAGCCTCCTAAAATGGTGGGATTACAGTTATGAGCCACCACACCTGGCCCAAAAGTTTTCTTAAATTAATTAAAAAAGAAGATAAGCAAGAACTGTAAATCCACCTTCTTAATGCTAATATGAATTTGAAACATCAAAATTTGAATATTTATGATTGCTAGACACCTTTATTCTTATTTCCAATTTAATTATTCATAATTCACATTTCAGTGTCAGAAAGTCATGAATTTCCAATAAACTATAGTAAGATGGATATTACATATATAGACCTATTATGCCAAAATGTGTCTCTAAATGAAATATGTATATTCATATTGTTAGCATTCTAATTTCACAATACTATTCATGTGTACACCTGCATTTTGGGTTAAATATTTTGTTACTATATATTTTTTGGTTCTGCATTAGAGAAGAAAAATCATAGGCAAATTTGTTAAGGTGTAAAACATATTTAGCATGATCTTTGAGTATGTTTGTGCATATATAATGCTACTTTGACTGCTATAGTAAGATAACAGATTTAGTCACCATAGCTAAGAATGTGAAAAAGCATTTACAAGAATTTGGCTTGCTAATGATGCTATTAAAAGATGAAATAAAATTGATATGCTGTATATTGCATAGAGTATTTGTCTATTTTCATATTGAAAACTGCACAAAAAAACCCAAAATAGAATCCTAATTGTTGGAGATCACTTTTGCTATGAATTTTTAAAGTATAATAAAATAAAAAAAGCAAATAAATCATTGAAAATACATTGGTTTTACATTATTCTTGATGAAATACCACGTGAGGGTATTTGCCTAGGCCTGATGCTGGAATAATATAAGAATCATGAGGCCATGAAGAAGAATAATATTGTTCTCTCATTACTTTGAAGTCTAGTACTTAAAAAACAAGACTGAAATCACATTTATCAAATAGCATTCTCCCTTTTACCTGCCATCATCATTATCATTATCTATATCCACATCTATCTCATTAAATGATTTATTTTTGAAATATTTAAACACATAATTTGGAAAATAAGTAATTTTAAAAAGATCATAATTATTGGAAAGTTACAGGAGTAAACAGCAAAGTTTAAGTCAAGCTCAATACACTTAGATTTAGAAATTAAGTGTAGTTTATTTTACAATACATTGCTTAAGCAAATAATTATTTATGGATGAGCTTAAACTAATCCTCTTTTCACTATGATCACTATGGAAACAATTTAGATTTTAATGGAACTAAACCTCCCTAGTAAGAAAGACAAAGCAAATAGCACATTTTATGAGCAAGCTTATATTTCTAAAGAGAGAGTTTTAGGACCAGATTGTCAAACAGAGGTAAGACCTCAGATCTTCTGTCACACTTGAGTGAGTGATGATGGAGTTTGAAGGTTATAGTTCTATAACCAAAACTATATTCACGGATAGGGATTAAATGGTGGAATTCCTTAGAAGCACCAGATTCAGTTTTGTTTCCATGGGAATAAAAGTTCTTCAATGTTTGATAAACTTGTAAGTACTGTTTTACTCTTTGATCTTTTAAAGATTGTTATAAATGAAGAAGCCTTGATTTCTGCTTATAAAAACAGTAAAATTTAAATCGTGGAATAGATTGGTGGAGCTGTGGTTGAGATACTATATTTTATTAATTGTAATGACATTTTGAGATCTAGTGCTGCTCACTGAATTTCCCTATAAGGTGAGTTTGTGGTGATGACCCAGCAACAGACAAGCTACTATCCAAAAAAAGCTACTCACATCAAATCAATTTCCGGTTTCTTCCAAGTTGCAGGAGAATGCCTAGACCATGATTTTAATCTCTTCTGTGACCTTTGTATTACAAAAAGAAGAAAATTGTGACCATTTTCATGTCAGGTATACTAAAAATTTATAAAAACTCCTTTTTAAAGAACTTGTGAGTAGCTTCACTATGCCTGGCTCACATTTTCATTTATTGTAGAGGGAGTTTCGGTGTATTGCACAGGCTGGTCTTGAACTCCTGGGTGCTCCTGCCCCAGCCTTACAAAATGTTGGGATTATGGGTGTGAGCCACCCTGCCTGGCCAATAAAGAGACTTATTGAAAATATTAAGTTGAATATGCAAGAAGGAATACAAATTAATGAAAGTGATAAATATGTGCATAATTGTAAATGAATGTTTGCTGTATAAAATAATAATGTCTTGAGGGTGATTATATAATTGATAAGACATATGCAAATGGCAAAAAATAGACTGGAGGTAAAGGTGACAGGAGTAAATTTACTTGAAGTAGTTTTTGAACTTTTCTATGTCTATGAGGAGATTTTGAACAATGACCCTGTAATTTTACCCAAAGGTATATATACAGAGGAATTGCATCAAATGATATATGAAAGAATTCTCTAGTAGAATTATTCATAACTTCAAAAAAGAAGCAGACCAAATGTACATTAAGGATGGGTGAATCATTACATTAATTCCATGCAACGGAACAATATAGAGAAGTGAAAAAAAACCACATGTACTTGCAACTATGTGACTAAATTTCAGAAACATAATGTTGAGTCCAAGAAGCCACAAACAACAAGAACATGTAGGAATGCACCTACACAGAGTTCAAAGCAGGCCAGACCAAGCGATGGAGTTTAGGGTTGCATACCTAGTTGGTAAAGTGTGAAGAAAATTAAGGAAATAATCAATATAAATTATGGATATTGCTTATCTCAGGAGATGTGAAGAAGGGTTTAGGGGGTTGGAAAGTGGCATGGAGGTGGACCTAGGCTGTTTTCAGTGTTCCTTGTCTTGCTCCACATAATGGTTACTTGAATGTTTATGATACACTGCGGTATTTCCCATTTTTGTTTTGGTTCATTTCTAAGTGTGCATTATAATTTTAACATAAAAAGTTTTAATTAGGAGAAACGTCTCATAGAAATTATTATTACTCGTCTCATTATATACTGAGGGGAAAAATAAACTATTGGTATACATTCTTATACAACTCTAAGAGAGTTGAAGTAAGAACTTTATTTAGTTGCAACATGAGGAAATTTGAGATGATTTTATTTGCCACCCCAGATTTTTCCAAAGGATTTCTTCTAGCCTTAATTATCCACCTCACATGAACAAATCTTTGCCGTTCCCCATCTATTTTTTCTTTTGGCTCCTGAATTCCTGACACAACAAGGTTGTACACATTTCCCACACTCTTGGTTTAGCAGAGTTCTTTTATCAGTTATGTTTTTCTGCAAGAGAAACCCTTCAAAACTACATTAGATATTTATATATCACATGGCTTTGGATTTTGTTTTTCTAAATGGGTTTGTTGGATAGCTCTGGTGACTTGAGATGGGCCAAATTCTGCATCTTGGAGGTCGTTAGAGTTTGGCCAATTTAGTCTGGATCAGGTGGGGGGCAATCTGCCTTCATTAGTTTCTGATTCTCCTTCTGGGAACAGTGTACTAGCCAGGTGATATTCTCATAGTAAATGGAAAGAGGAAGAACACCCAGTATGGAAGCTATCTCAAATTTCTATGCAAAGTGTATTAATTTTTTGTTCATCAAAGTAAGTTAAATGATTGAACTTCAAGTTCAGGGGAAAGGTAGTCAGTCTTCGTGTGATGGGAGGATACTGCAAGATTATATATCAAAGGGTCTGGTACTCAGGAATACTTATAAAATTGCTGAACATTTTAATTAAATAATAAATATTTAAATATTAGACTTGAGAGAAACTTTACCAAAGGCCTAAGAATTAGAGATATGTTTGATAAATAAACATTATTCGTGGGCTGAAAACCTTGAGTGGGAAAATAGGACTAATTTCACCTGGACAACCTCCTGGAAACTGATTTTTTATTTTGGAAATTATGAGAAAATAATTCGTTCCATTCATAAGTGGTGTGCACATGTGTGTGTTTGTGTGTGTATTTATGAGCTTGTGAATAATGAAGTTACACAAAAGTATTAGCAGCAACCAGATCTTATGGAGTATTGGCCTGCCTGTGGTTCTCAAGTAAATCTTAGATGCTTTTGATAAAAGCAGTTTGGATTCTGTGTATTTAAATCTGGCATTTAAAAAAGTCCGTATTGGTGATGATCTTAGTTATGATCAAGCTCCCTTTAAGATTTTAGACATTTACTATACGATCTACATATCGGGTTATAAAACTTCCCAAGCAACTGAAGTCGCTAAAGACAAATGATGGAGAGGTTACACAAGGAAAAATTGCAAACACTGGAAGTGAACATGTCCTTGTTTGCATACTAGCAAATGAGAATTCAGGTTTCATGTCAATTTCAGTATGAATAATTCCAGCCTATAACAAGAACAGATGGTGAATGAGTCAGTTAATTTGAATTGTTTTGAAAATAAGAATGTTTTCCATAAAGAGAGCATTGAACTTATCCATTAGCATGCCATGGTGATTTCTGACTTGACACTGGTCACAGCAATTAAAAGTAAAAAGAATGTCACAGCACATACACAAATCAGGTGCATATAGAATTTAAGGTCAGGATATTCAAGCAATCACAACCAGTGATATTACACCAGCATTTTAAAAATTTCTTTTTGTCTGTTCAGACATGATAACTTTTCTGCCCATCATTTTTTCCATTCTAATAGTGGTTATATTTGTTATTGGAAATTTTGCTAATGGCTTCATAGCATTGGTAAATTCCATTGAGTGGGTCAAGAGACAAAAGATCTCCTTTGTTGACCAAATTCTCACTGCTCTGGCGGTCTCCAGAGTTGGTTTGCTCTGGGTGTTATTACTACATTGGTATGCAACTCAGTTGAATCCAGCTTTTTATAGTGTAGAAGTAAGAATTACTGCTTATAATGTCTGGGCAGTAACCAACCATTTCAGCAGCTGGCTTGCTACTAGCCTCAGCATGTTTTATTTGCTCAGGATTGCCAATTTCTCCAACCTTATTTTTCTTCGCATAAAGAGGAGAGTTAAGAGTGTTGTTCTGGTGATACTGTTGGGGCCTTTGCTATTTTTGGTTTGTCATCTTTTTGTGATAAACATGGATGAGACTGTATGGACAAAAGAATATGAAGGAAACGTGACTTGGAAGATCAAATTGAGGAGTGCAATGTACCATTCAAATATGACTCTAACCATGCTAGCAAACTTTGTACCCCTCACTCTGACCCTGATATCTTTTCTGCTGTTAATCTGTTCTCTGTGTAAACATCTCAAGAAGATGCAGCTCCATGGCAAAGGATCTCAAGATCCCAGCACCAAGGTCCACATAAAAGCTTTGCAAACTGTGACCTCCTTTCTTCTGTTATGTGCCATTTACTTTCTGTCCATGATCATATCAGTTTGTAATTTTGGGAGGCTGGAAAAGCAACCTGTCTTCATGTTCTGCCAAGCTATTATATTCAGCTATCCTTCAACCCACCCATTCATCCTGATTTTGGGAAACAAGAAGCTAAAGCAGATTTTTCTTTCAGTTTTGCGGCATGTGAGGTACTGGGTGAAAGACAGAAGCCTTCGTCTCCATAGATTCACAAGAGGGGCATTGTGTGTCTTCTAGCAGAAAACAAACTGGTGGTGTATGAAACATTTTATATTTCTTACTGGGTTTTCTGTAATATATGTATATGAATAATTTCCACATGTATACCTAGAAAAGTCTTTTACCTAAAGTTAGTCTAGAAAAGTACATATATATAGATGTGTGTGTGTGTGTGTGTGTGTATGAAAAACTGAAGAACATTGACAATAACATGCTTTTTATTGTTTTTTCACAAAAACTGCCAAATTATAGAAAATATGACAAAAATTCCTCAATTATGAAGCCATGTTTATTTCATACATGTATTTTATATTTCATTTGTAGAATTTATATCTATTTATAATTATTAAGAACTAACAGCTTATCTCAGGAAAAATATTGCTCTTTTCTATTGTTATTTGAATGACACAAATATACCACAGTGTGCTTACAATCTGTTGTTTTAACCTATAACTTTTTGATAATAAGGTCGTTCAATTCTTAATCACTAATGAGGATGTATCTTCAGGGTTTTATTCCATTATGAATTCCTATTTTATGTTTAGTAAAAAGCAATCAGAATTATTGTTACAAAACAATGAACACAATAAAATTTGAGTGAGAAGTATACGTATAGTAAATTTCATGTATGTGTACCATAAACAGTACTGAGGAATATTAGATTTAATACAAGTATGTGAATAGCTTAGAAAAAAATCTCTGCTATAAGAGGGATGAAAAATCATGATCATGATCTTGATTGCTATTATCAGCTTCCATATGCAGTTAGAACAGTCATTTCTTCCAGCTTTTCAATTAAAGAAAAACTTTTTTTGAAATTGAGCTCAGATGTAAATTATTTTAGTATTTTTTCTAAAGCACTTCTAAGCCCCTGAATTGCTAATTATATCCTTATCTTCCATTTTTAAAATTCTTTCTAAACTTCAGATAAGAGAACTCCAGTCTTCCGTTTTCTAAAAAAAAATCTGTCAATGTGAAAATAGTATAAAAATTATGGAAAATAATTCAGTGAAACTTTTTTTAAGTGTTAAAATAGTATCTATGAAATCTATGTATTAATTATGGGATTTGTCCTAGTGTAATTTTGTTGTCAATGATTAAATGGAATTGTCTTGACATATTCATTAATGGGAAGTTCTATTATAAGAAGGAAATGTACAGTCTTGTTTACAGCTAAATTCTACATGACTGTATTAATTCTTGGTGTTATGAAATTTTAACAATGTTGTTCAGACCTTAAGATAAATCATCCCCACACCTGATTCATGTATTTTTTAGAATCATGTATCTTCCTCAGTACAATGTAAGAACCATAAAAGAAGAGATCGTGTCTGTCAGGCTTTCTGTTGACTCCCAGGACCTAGAACCCAGCACAAGGAATAGATGGTCAAAAATGATATTTTAATGAACAAATAAATGGGTGGATAAAATGGGTAAGCTGATGTGGTAAACCAATGAAAGGGAAACTCATCACAAAATCTGCAGTTGCATGAGTTCCCCTGTTCTGGTCTCAGGTTAAGATTACAGGCTTATCCAAGCAGAATCCTTCCTCAGAGGAAAAGTTTGGCTATTCCACAATTTTAGGGGAAATATCACAATAATATAGTCTTGATGCAGCTGTATCAGGTGTCTGAATTGGCGACAAGGTAGAACATCAAAATTAGATGCCACTATTACAATATTTTAAAAAAGCATATAAAAGACTTTGGTCTATTTGCGTATGTATTTTTTTCTATTGTGAATTATATATTTGTATTATGATATTTTCTAGTTGATTATCATATAAAAATGGCATTTCATTTCAAAAAATTGAGTTAGTAACCAGCTACTTTACTAAAATGTTTTTAACGTAATACCTGATATTAAAGTGATGACATTTATATGGAAGGCCAATTCAAGACAAAAATGGCAGGGACATGTGGAAATTGAGACAAGAACCGATGTGAAACAATGTGTGGTGATGTCTGGTATGACTGCTGGCAGCCACTTCACAGTGAGGTGAGAGAGACAGCATGGTGGTCATCAGATGCATGCACTTGACTCCCAGAACTTTTCCAGAAGGGCTACAAAGGGAAACCACAGCTGGCATTAGTCCATGGAAGAGAGAGAGAGGAGGGAGAATGTATCTGCTCAGCTGTCGTTAGTCTTCTGTTTCCCCTTGGCCAGGGTTTCCCTGAGTTAGAACTACCATCTCTGTTGTTCTGTCTTACATCATCCAGTCCCTTGGTGGTGGTCATGAAAGTCAGACCTCATGCCCACAGTGTGGTGATGCATTCAAGTCCCAAATGGAAGGATGATCTGGATCAGGCAAGGTGCTGACCAGGGGAACAGGAGATAGTGAAGGGAATCTGAGAAAGCACATGTTTGTGTCCAATACCACCACTCCTTGTGCCACTGAGACGTGCTCATACCCTCCAGTCATGGCTGGCTTTATGAGCATATGACTTGCACAGTTGTACAGGGTTTTGTGCTTATAGGGGCTTGTGCTTAGAGTGACTCTATGCTTGGATTAATGTTCTGCACTTGCTGTTTGGCTTTTCAGACAGAGTATACTTCAGCATTCCCTCTGCTGAAGAGGGAATGGTCTTACACTGGTCTTACACTGATTCCATAGGGATTTGCTCTCCCCTCTCCTACAGGCTTGTCAGAGACATGCACAGAGTCCTATAATGCCCACTATGCATGCCTCTAGCAGCTTTGAATTCCGCTGGATCATCTGGCACAGTGGCCAGAGCAGCCTGGACCAGAGCCTATATCTTCTGTAGAGCCCTCTTTAGTTCTGGGCTCCATTTGAGACCAGTAGCCTTTAGAAACATCGTTCGTGAGTCAGAGCAATATTCTCAAATGTGGAATATGTTGTCTCCAAAATCCCAGTAGGCCCCCAAAACATAGTGTCTCTTTTGTAGTGATAGGAAATATATAGAGAGAGCAAAATGCCGTTTACTGTAAAAAAGATTGTCTCAGCATGTGGACTAGGGACACTAAAAACCTTAAAACATCACCTATGTTGTCGGTCCCTGAATCTTCTCTGATTTATCTATTTTCTTCTGGTATTTTACTTCTGCTCAATGTTATAATATTTTACTATACTGAAGAAACTTGCCATTTCCTGATTATTGTACCAACTAATATATTATTATTGGTATTATTTTGAGACACGGTCTCTTTCTGTCCCTGAGGCTGGAATGCAGTGGCAGGATCACAGCTCATTGCAGCCTCAACCTTCTGGGCACAAGTGATTCTCCCACTTCGGCATTGCTGGCAGCTGGGACTGCAGGGGCACAACACCATGCCTGGCTAATTTTGGTATTTTTTGTAGGGCTGGGATGTCACCGTGTTACCCAGGCTGGTCTCAAACTCCTGGGCTCAAGTGATCTGCCTGTGTCGGCCTCCTAAAGTGTTGGGATTACAGTCATATGCCACAGGGCCCGGTCTGTAATATTATCAATACATTAAACTGGCAGGATGTTTTAAAAAATGTAAATTAAACTGAGAACAGAAGTGACATAGCCCTGACATACAACAGTGAAGCAGTGCTATTATTCTTACAAGGCAAATTGTTTTGATTTTCCCTCATAATGGGTGTAGATTAAGAACCATTCACCAAATCACTAGCCCCACAAAAAGTACCAGAAGCTCTGCTCTGCTCAGTGAAGATAGCACATCCTGGAAAGCATTTGTGAGTGTTGATTTAAGTTTATGGTAGTCTGCATTCATTCGATAACCCATCTGGTTTTGGTAGAGGCCAGATAGGTTAAGTGAATCGGGTTATAGAAAAGACTACCATCCCCTGTAACTTTCAGGTGTTTTGTCATGACAGTGACCAGTTCCATTCCTTAGGGAATGCGGTTATTATATTTTATATATTTTGTTGCCAGTAGAGGAGAATTTCAGAGGCTTTCCCTTGGTCCTGCTATAATAATGTTCCTTACTCTACAGTTCACGAAGAATGTGAGAGTCCTGCCAGCTGCCATACGTATCCATTTCAATTCAGGAAGAGGTAATAACTACAAACTGATTAGATCCACCTTGGGATGGACATGAGCCGAAGCTCTAGGTAGCATCTGACCTTCAAAACTCCCACTGCGGGCTGGATGTGATGGCTCATGCCTGTAGTCCTAGTACTTTGGGAGGCCAAGGTGTGAAGATCCCTTGAGAGCAGGAGTTCCCTGTGCATCATATGGAAACTCCGTCTCTACAAAAAATTTTAAAAATTACCTGGCATGGTGGTACATGCCTATAGTTCCAAATAGTTGAGAAGCTGAGGCAGGAGGATTGCTTGAGCCCAGGAGTTCCAGGCTGCAGTGGGCTATGATTGTGCCACTGTACTCCAGCTTGGGTAACAGAGGGAGATGCTGTCTCAGAACAAAAAAAAAGGTGGAAGTTCTCACTGGTGTCAAATATCAAGAGAAACAGGATCAAATCAATAATTAACAATCTTTGGTTCCTGCTTATAGCAAACAGGTAAAATTGAAAGTAGTTACAGAAATAGTATATTAACTCCTAACAAAACTAACCAATGAAAGTTTTATTATCATCTCCTTTTTGTTGTTATTTTGATACGGAGTCTCGCTCTGTCTCTCAGGCTAGAGTGCAGTGGCGTGATCTCGACTAACTATAACCTCTGCCTTCTGGGTTCAAATGATTCTCCTGCTGCAGTCACCGAGTGGCTCGGATTATAGGTGCGTGCCACCACCACCTGGCTAATTTTTATATTTTTAGTGGAGACAGGGTTTCACCATGTTGGCCATGCTGGATTTGCACTCCTGACTTCAGGTGATCCACCTGCCTTGGCCTCCCAAAGTGCTGGGATTACAGCCATGAGCCACTGCGCCCGCTTTTTATAGGTGATTATACTGAGGCAGGAGTAGTTGGAAAATGGAGTCTCAGAGCATAGCTATACCAAGCAGGGAATATGATTTCCTGACCTGGCGTCTGACTCCAAGATCCCCTCTTAGAAACAGTTATGCTATAAAAACTGAAAAGAAACAAAATCCAGGATTGGAGACTGATTTTAACATCTATTCATCATAAATCAATAAGTAATCAAAAATAAATAGAGAAAAGTAAAAGTGAATATTCATACACAGAGAAGTGTAAATTCTTCTATGGAAAACATGTTTTTTTAGTGCCCAAGGAATAGTTATACAATTGTTGAGGTTTTTCTTTTTCTTTTTCTTTTTTTTTTTTTTGAGACTGAGTCTCGCTCTGTCGCCCAGGCTAGAGTGCAGTGGCGCCATCTCGGCTCACTGCAAGCTCCGCCTCCTGGGTTCACACCATTCTCTGGCCTCAGCCTCCCCGAGTAGCTGGGACTACAGGCGCCTGCCACCATGCCCGGCTAACTTTGGTTTTGTATTTTTAGTAGAGACGAGGTTTCACCGTGTTAGCCAGGATGGTCTCGATCTCCTGACCTCGTGATCAGCCCGCCTCGGCCTCCCAAAATGCTGGGATTACAGGCGTGAGCCACCGTGTCCGGCCAAAATAGTTGAGTATTTTAATTAAATAACTAATATTTAAGTATTCTCAAGAGAATAACTTAGTTAAAGGCCTAAGCCTTAGAGATTAAGTTTGATAAACATTGAAAATGGGCTGAAAAGCCCGAGTAAGAAAATTAATTTTCATTTTAGAAGTTATAGGACAGTAATTTTTCCAAACCATGAGGGGTGTGTATGTGTGTGTGTGTGAATGTGTTTGTGTTAATGAGCTTGTTAACAATAAGTTGTACAAAATTATTAGTTAGCAGTAACCAGTTTTCAAGGAATATTGGCCTTCCTGGGCTTCCCAAGAAAACCTTGGACACTTTTGGTAGAAAAGTTGGGATTCACTCTCCATAAATCTGGCATTGAAAAAATGATTCAACAGTGGTCATGATTCTAGTTTTGACCAAGCTACATATAACAGTGTAGGCATCCAATGTATGATTTATGTATTAGGTTGGAAAATTTCCCTAACAACTCACATTGCTGAACGCAAATTATGGAGACATTAAACAAGGAAAAAATTGCAAAATGATGATTAAGTGTATGACTTGATTTGCATGCTAGCAAATGAGAATTCAGCTTTCACATCAACATCAGTATGAAAAATTTTATCTTATAACAAGCATATAGTATTTGAATAGGAGTTAATTTGAGCTGTTTTGGAAATTATCCTGTTTTCCATTAAGACAGCCTTGAACTCATTCAATAGCATTCCCCGGTGCTTTCCTGTTTGACATTAGCCAGAGAATTTAAAAGGAACAAGAACGTTATTGCACAGTCAGAAATCAGGAGCACATAGAAATTAAGGTCAGGACCTTAAAGGGAAACTTGTCCATTGGTATTAGGCCTGCCTTAAAAAATGCGGACATGGTATGTTTACTACTCATCATTATTTTCCATAACAGTAATGGTAGAATTTGTATTTTCCCATGGGCACCTTCATTAGGCTTATAGACTATTTTGATATTTCAACATATTATTTTCTTTGAGTCCTTTTAATGAGTTGTTAAACAATGCTAAAATTTGCCTTACAGTATACTGTTAACTAATCATATTTTCCCAAAGTCATTTGACATAATGTTTGGTTAAAGGAAATATGTCTAGTACAGTTACACTCTAGGATTGTAATCCTAGAATTGTAAATCAGTGCAATTACTTTGAGTATGGCATTATCTGATTAAGATGATGGATCACATCTGAAGACCCACTATTGCACTCTTATCAGAATACATATACACACACATGCATATCACTGAGTTTTAATTGCTAAAGTTGACAAGTCTGTCAAATGTCCATGGGTGATAAAATGGATAAATAAATTATTGCATAGTCATACAATAGAATACTATACAGCAATCAAAATGAACCAACTAGAGAGACGTTTATAAAGAATGTTAATAAAAAGGAAAATGAACAAATTTGCACTACATAGATACGAGAGATATTAAGATGGAAACATGATTCCGTATAATTACATTTATATAAAGTTTACAAAACTATATTTTTAATGAATTGCAATTTATTACATTGTTGTCGAAATTCTAAAGTGAGACCCAAGAGTGATTATTGTAACAACTGGCACAGTAGGGACGGAGGAAACAAAAGGGAAATGATATCAACAAGAAGGTGTATATGGGGAGTGTCTGGATTGCTGGTAAATTCTACTTCATGACCAAGATGTGGTAACATGACCCTTAATGCTATAATTTTTTTCTATACTGTACCTTCAGGCTTTATTAATTTATATATATGTTATGTTTCATAGTAATGAAAATATTTTAAAAGCAGAATCATATAATAAATGAATGAATATAAAATAGGCTGAAAAAACATTCTTGTAGACACCATGGTAATTAGAATTTTTGCTGAATAAAGAAGAATAGAGCATTATGATAGTAAGAAATCCAAGATAAAATTTTAAACTTTAAATTAATTTTAAAAAGGAAGAGATAAACAGGAAGTCTACCTCCACACTCTTAATGTTATTCTTATTTTGAAACATCAGATTTTGCACATCTGTATTTTGCTAGACACCTTTTTTTCTTATTTCCAATTTAGATATTTATGATCACAACATTTCAAAGTGGCAGAAATTAGTGAATTTCCAATATAGTAATATCGATATTAAATATACAGGACAATTTTCTAAATTTATCCCTAAATGAAATAATAATACACATATTTTTACCATTCAAAGATTATAATACCATGCATGTGTACACATGTGTGAGGAAAAATATTTTGATACTACAAATTTTTTGAATATTACAGGAGAATTAGTAGAAAGATAATTTTGTTAAGGCATAAAACATATGTAGTATAACTACTTGGACTGCTATAATAAAATCACCCAGATTTTGTGACAGTAGCTGAGAATGTAAATAAGCAGTAGAGAGAATTTAACTTGTTAATGATGCTATTAAAAGATGAAATGAAGCTTATTCACTCTATAATTGCAAAGAGTATTTGTGTAAGTTCATAGGAAAGTGGAACAAAATTAAACAGCCAACAAGAGAGTATTCTTTGCTGGAGGTCAATTTTACTGTAATTTTTAGAATGTGGTAAAAGAAAAAAAATAGCAAGTAAATCATTGGAAATGTGTCGGTTTTGTATTATTCTTGACGAAATATTATGTGAGGGTATTTGTCTAGGCCTGATGCTGAGAATAATACAAGAATTGTGCCGGGCATGGTGGCTCATGCCTGTAATCCCAGCACTCTGGGAGACCGAGGCTGGTGGATCACCTGAGGTCAGGATTTCCAGACTGGCCTGGCCAATATAGTGAAAACCCATCTCTTCTAAAAATACAAAAATTAGCTGGGCGTGATGGCGGGCACCTGTAATCCCAGCTACTTGGGAGGCTGAGGCAGGATAATCAATTGAACCAGGGAGGCAGAGGCTGCAGTGAGCCAATATTGCGCCATTGCACTGCAGCCTGGGTGACAAGAGTGAAGCTCCATGTCAAAAAAAAAAATCGTAAATCCATGAGAAAGAATAATAGTGTTCTCCCACTACCCTTAACTCTAGTACATTGAAAAGAAGACCCAAATCACATTTATCAAATAACATTCTCCCTTTTAGCTGACATTATCATCATTATTATAATCATCTACATTTACATCTATCTTATTAAATGATTTATTTTTGAAATATTTACATACATAATTTGGACAACGTTTACATAAGTTCTAAGAGATATCATTGTGGGAAATTTACGTTAGTAAACAGCAAAGTTCAAGTCAAGTTGAATACATTTAGATTTAGAAAGTTAAGTGTAGTGCAGTTTAAAATACATTGCTGAAGAAAACAATTATAGATGATATTAAACTAATCCAAGGAACACTATAAAAAGATTTTGATTTTAGTATAAATAAAATTGCTTAATAAGAAAAATAAATAAACCATTTCATGATCAAGCTCTTATTTCTAAAGAGAGGATTTTAGGGCTAAACAAATCAAATAAGCCCTCCCCCACATCTTCTCTATTTCATGTAGGTAAGGATGGAGTTCAAAGGCACAGAGCCCCATTTCTACAACATAAGCAAAGTGAAAATTAATTCATGGAATACAATGACATAGCTGTGGTTGATGAACTATATTTTATCTATTGCAATGATATTTTGAAATGCAGTGCTACTCATTGAGTTTCCTTGTGAGGAGATTGTGTGGCGAGGACCCAGCAAGACAAGCTACTATCCCAAAAAAGCTACTTATATGAACTTCATTTCTGGTTTCTTTCAAATTGAAGGTAAATTCCAAGATGAAGCTTTTATTCTATTCTCTGACCAAAGTGTTGGGAAAAGAAGGAATTTGTTACCATTTTCATTTCTAACATACTAAAACAGAAAACAAAAAACCCCAAAATCAAAAACACTTTTAAAAAGAACATGCCGTTAAGATTAGTTTGTTCAGTTTCCCTGTAGAAAATAATTTATGGAAAGATAATAAAAGATTATTCTGAACACTAAAACAAGAAAACTAAAAAATGAATTATCAATATTGAGAATCCAATAGACAGAGTTAACCAGTTAGATGGAGTAGAAGAGATAATTAGTGAATTGGAAGATAGCTACAAAGAATGAAGCACTGAGAGAAAGATGGAAAATATAAGACTAGAGGGTAACAAATTCATGCTACAGTTGGAATATGTAACATACTTCTGGAGTTCTGTAAGATTAGAGGAGAGAAAATAGAGCAAGAGAAAATACAAAGTTGTACTGAAAATACAAAGTTGAACATGCAAGAAGCAATAAAATTAATGACAATGAAAAATAAGTGTGTAATTCTAAATAAATGTTGCCTGTAGAAAACAATAGTGTCTTGTTGGATTAATTGTATAATTGATAAGATATATGCAAATAGCAATAAGGAGACTGGAGACAAAGTGACAGGAATAAATTTAGTCAAACTGTTTTGGGCTTTTCTATGTCTGTGAGTAGAATTTGAATATCATAATCCAGGACCGTATAAATCTACACCCAGATATATATACACAAAGGAATTGTAGCAAATGATATGTGAAAGAATGTTCATTGTAGCATTATTAATAATAGCTCAAAAATAAGCTGCCCAAATATATATCAAATAAAGATGGATAAATAATTACAGTAAAATCATAAAATGGAAAAATATACAGAAGTGAAAATAAATGAATCACATGTACATGCAACCATGTGATTAAATTTCAGATACATAATGTTGAGTCCAGGAAGCCATGAATAAGGACATATAGGATTGCACCTATACACAGTTCAAAGCAGACCAAACGAAGCTATTGAGTTTAGGGTTGCATGCTTTGTTCGTAAAGTACAAAGAAAATAAAAAAAGATCATTATAAATTATGGATGTACTTATCATAAGAGGTGTGAAGAAAGGTGTAGGGGATTGGAAAGTGGCATTGAGGTAAACCTAGCCTCTTAGCAATGTTCCATGTCTCGCCCTACATAATGGTTACATGAGTGTTTATGATACATTGCTATGTTTTCCATTTTTGTTTTGGCCCATTTCTAAGTGTGTAGTCTAGTTATAAAAATTATTAATTAGGAGAAATTTTCCATGAAAATTATTATTACCCTGCTCATTATATACTGAAGGGAAAAATCCACTATTTGTATACATTCATGTATAACTCTAAGAGATTTTAAGAAGAAACTTTCTGATTTTAGTTGCAACTTTTGGAAATTTGACATGATGTTTCCTGCCAACCCCGGATTTTTCAACAGGTTTTTCTTTTAGGTTTAATTATTGACTTCATATGACAAAACTTTGACATTCTCCAACTATTTTTCCCTTGTATCCTGAATTCCTGACACAACAAGTGTGGACATATTTCCCACACTTTTGGTTTAGCAGAATACCTATGTCACTTATGTTTTTCTGCAAGAGAAAATCCTCCAAAACTACATTAGATATTTGTATCTCATATGTCTTTGGATTTCATTTTTCTAAGCTGGGTTTGATGGATGGCTGTGGTGATTGGAGATGGGCCACGTACTGCATCTTGAAGATAGAGTTTGGATGATTTAGGCTAGATCAGGCAGTAGCATTCTGACTCCATTAGTTTCTCATTCTTCTTCTGGGAACAGTGTAATAGCCAGATGATGTCCTCATGGTAAATGGAAAAGAGCAAGAAACTCCAATGTGGAAGCCATCTTAAATCTCTGTGTAAAGTCTACTAATTTCCTGTTCATTGAAGCAAGTTACAGGAGTGCACACGCATATATATATGTGTGTATATGTGTGCATGTGTATGAATAACAACACTGACCATAAATTATGAAGCCGAGTACATTTCACATATATATGTATGTTTATTATATGATAGTTTATTGTATGATATTTCATTTGAAGAATTATCTCTATTTATAATTAAGAACATATAGCTTTTATCAGCAAATTATTGCTGTTTTCCATTGTAATTTGTACCACATGTATGAACTTAACTATCATTGTTTGAACATCTAATTTTTTGGATGGTAAAGACATTCAACTCTAAATCAATGAGGAGAATGTATCTTTGGGGTAGGTTTTATTTCATTATGAATTCTTATTTTATGTTGTTGTTAGATAATGATGCACACAATTAAATTTGAGTGACAAACATATGTAGAGTAAATTTTGTATATATATACCAAAAACAGTACTAAAGAATACTAGATTTATACCAGTATGTGAATAGCTTAGAAAAAAAATTCGTTTGTATAATAGGAATGAAGAAACATAATCATGATCATTTCAGTGCTGTTATAATTTTTTATGTGTAGTTAGAAAAGAGATTTCTTCCACTTTTTAATTAAAGAAAGCCTTTTTTGAAGTTGACATCTGATGTCAAGTATTTCCATTTAATTTGCTTAGCCACCTCTGAGCCCCTGAATTTCCAATTATCTCCTTTGTCTCCCATTCCTAATATTCCTCAAAAAAATTCAAATATTCCTTCTCTTAAAAAAAACTCAATGTAAAGAGGGTATAGAAACTATGGATCATAACTGAATGAAACATTCTGCAAATATTACAAATTATCTGTCTAATCAATATATTGATGATAGGAAACGTATTAATGATATGTTTTATTGGGGGTGGGCAGTGAGCTGAGGATCCTCAGGCATCTCTATTTTTATTTTGTTTCTCTACGTAGTTTCTCCAGCATTTGGCTCTAGGTGCCAAGGGCACATGTGACAAGAAGGTGCCAGCTTTATAAACCTTGTAACTTCTTCTGTGTCAGTTCTGAGACATACAATTTACTAAAACACATCATGAAGGCCTGTTTTGAAGAGAAGGGGAATAAGACTGCATCTGTTCATATGAGGTATGTCGAAGCACTTGGATATGTTTTCAAACCACCAATCTTGATGATTTAGAAATGTGCTCCCTTTTCCAATTTCATCCTGATAAAAATGTATGATCTCTGGACGTTGCCAATATTCCCCTCCATTCCATCATGAGCCGTTCTCTGTAATTCAGAATCTGTGGACTAAGCTGTAAAACTAATGACTGTCAATCTATTCTACATGAAATAGTGGGCCAAAGAAAAAGGAAAACATGATAAGCAGTAAAAATATATACACAACATTTTTTGCTTACACTAATGATCAAATAACACCCATAGGACCAAACCTCCCACAGATACTTTCTATAAATTCTGGATAAAATATTTAAAAAAAAAACAGCCATCTGAAGGCAATGGAGAATGAACAAAATAGGCCGATACTGAAAAGCAGTTGACACTTGGAAGAAGGAAATAGCAAGGAGTGAGTTTCCTGATTTTATAGCTGGCCCTAGTGTGCACCAGGCAGAGGACTAAAACGTCAGTAAAAAAGCTGTAGAGTTACTGGGTTGAAGTAACAGAGGACTGAGTTTAGGGTAACATGAGCCGCAGGAGGTCAGGAGAAAATCTGAGAAAGGAGAAGTCCAGAAAAGGGGAGCCCCAGCTTCTGACTATAGACTATCCAAAGCTTTGTCTGGTCCCTACACCACACATGTATAGGCAGACTTCATGAAGCCCAGCTAAAATAATAAAATTGATTTCAGTTATCATCAAGCACAGTGAGGACAGAAATAGCAACAAAACACATTACTTTAGGCAAAGATACTCTTTTCTTGAAAACCCAAACTACATTCCATTACCTTTCATAACAGTCATATTCCTTGTCCATTCTTGTTTCTACCATGGTTCTAACTCCTACTTTTATTCATTACATTAATCAAAGTAATTCTCTTTCAAAGAGGAAACTGGAAGTTATGTAATTGAGGACTATTAAAAATAAGTATTTTGGCAGATGTGCAAAATTCTCAAGCACATATATTACAACTTTCTATAGTCATATATATCCTTTTTACACTTGCTTGAATTGGCATACAAAACTCCCATGTTTGTTAATGTAATCCAAACAAATAGCCAGTCCATAAAATATAAAAGTTACATTTAGTTATTTATTTATATAACCCGTGATTGGTGACCACATTTCAGTATTCCATCTTAACTAGTAATTATCCAAAGATTTTCATGAAGTCACTGAATCTAATATTAGTCTAAGGTCTTGAACTAGGAATCTTGGAAATTAAATTTAAGACAATAGGCTACAGAAAATAATTACTGTCAATATGTGGAATTTTTCATAATTTGTATTCAGTTTGTTTGAAAACATAATTTTACATTTTTTGGTATTTTAACATTATGTGGGCATATTAGTTTACCTTATCAGTAAACAGGTATGGGAAGTTTAGGAATTTCTTTTTTTTAAATGTATTTTTAAGTTTTGTGGATATATAGTAGGTCTATATTGAGTACACGGGATGTGTTGATACAGGCATGCAAAGAGTAATAATCACATAAGAATGGGGTAGCCATCCCCTCAAACATTTACTCTTTTTTGTTACAAACAATCCAGTTATACTCTTTTAGTTACGTTAAAATGTACAGCTAAATTATCATTGACTATAGTCACTCTGCTGTGGTATCAAATAGTAGGTCTCATTCACTCTTTCTATTTTTTTTTTTGGTAGCCATTAACCAGCCACACCTTCCCTTTAGCCCCCACTACCTTTCCTAGCCTTTGTTAACCATCTATGTACTCTCTATGTCCACGAGTTCAATTGTTTTGATTTTTAGATACCACAGATGAGTGAGAAAGTGCAATGCTTGCCTTTCTGCACAAACATTGCAGTTATTTTTTACTTATTCAACTTAACATAATAATCTCCAATTCCATCCGTATTGCTGCAAATGACAGGATCTCATTTTTTAAATGGCTGAATAGTACTCCACTGTGTATATGTACCACATTCTCTCTCCCTCTTTTTTTTTTTTTTTTTTTTTGAGATGGAGTCTCGCTCTGTCTCCAGGCTGGAGTGCAGTGGCGCAATCTCAGCTCACTGCAACTTCAGCCTCCCAGGTTCAAGTGGTTCTCCTGCCTCAGCCTCCTGAGTCGCTGGGACTACAGGCGCCAGCCACCACGCCCAGCTAATTTTTTTGTATTTTTAGTAGCGATGGGGTTTCACCATGTTGGCCAGGATGGTCTCAATCTCTTGACCTCATGATCCACCCACCTCGGCCTCCCAAAGTGCTGGGATTACCGGTGTCAGCCACCGCCCCCGGCCATACCACCTTCTCTTTATCTATTCATCTGTTGCTGGACACTTTGATTGCTTCCAAATCTTGGCTATTGTGAACAGTGCTACAACAAACATGGGAGTGTGGATACCTGTTTGATACACTTACTTCCTTTCTTTTGGGTATATACCCACCAGTGAGATTGCTGGATCATATGGTAACTCTAATTTTAGTCTTTTGAGAAACCTTTAAACTGTTTTCCATAGTGGTTTTACTAATTTATATTCCCACCTGCGGTGTACAGTGGTTCCCGTTTCTCCACATCCTCACCAGCATTTGTTACTACCTGTCTTTTGTATATAAGCTGTTTTAACTGGGATGAGATGATATCTTATTTTAGTTTTGATTTGCATTTCTCTGATGATCAATGATGTTGAGCACCTTTTCACATGTCTGTTTGACATTCGTATATCTTGTTTTGAGAAATGACTATCCAAATATTTCACCCATTTTTTTGATCAGATTGTTAGATTTTTTTTCCTATACAGTTGTTTAAGCTCCTTTTATATTCTGGTTATTAATCCCTTGCCAGATGAGTAGTTTGCAAATATTTTCTCCTATTCTGTGGATTGTCTCTTCACTTTGTTGATCATAACTTTGCTGTGCAGAAGTATTTTTTAACTTGATGTGATCCCAATTGTGCATTTTTTACTTGGTTGCCTGTACTTGTAGGGTATTACTACTTAAGAAATTTTTGCTCAAACCAATGTCCTGGGGAGTTTCTCTGATGTTTTCTTATGGGAGCTTCATGGTTTGAGATCTTAATCATACATCTTTAATCCATTTTGATTTGATATTTGTATAGATATATGGGCCTAGTTTCATTCTTCTGCATATGGATATTCAGTTGTCCCAGCACCATTTATTGAAGAGACTGTCTTTTTCCAGTGTATGTTCTTGGCATCTTTTTCAAAAATGAGTTCACTGTAGGTGTGTG
This sequence comes from Homo sapiens, assembly GCF_000001405.40. Taxonomy (NCBI): domain Eukaryota; kingdom Metazoa; phylum Chordata; class Mammalia; order Primates; family Hominidae; genus Homo; species Homo sapiens. The sequence goes on along the minus strand of NW_003571050.1, from coordinate 348,430 downwards.
GGTTTGTTTCCGAGTTGTCTGTTCTGTTCCATCGTTCTATGTGTCAGTTTTAATGCCAGTACATGCTGTTTTGGTTTCTGTAGCCTCAGTAGTAAGTATCATATGAAGTCAAGTAACATGATTCCTTCAGTTTTGTTCTTTTTTCTTAGGATAGTTTTGGCTATTCTGGGTCAGTTGTGGCTCTATATAAATTTTAGGATTGTTTTCTCTATTTCTGTGAAGAATGTTTTTGGTATTTTGATAGGAATTGCATTGAATCTGTAGATTCTTTGGGTAGTATGGCCATTTTAACAATGTTGATACTTCTAATCCATGAACATGGACTATCTTTTCTTTTTTTGGGTGTCCTTTTCCATTTCTTTCATTAGAGTTTTATAGTTTTCATTATAGAGCTATTTCATCTCTTTGGCTGAGTTAATTTTCAGGTATTTAATTTTATGTGTGACCTTTGTAAGTGGGATTACTTTTTTGATTTTGTTTTCAAATTGTTCACTATTGGCATGTAGAAATACTACTAATTTTTTATGTTAATTGTGTATTCTGCAAATTTACTGAGTTTGTTTATCAATTCTAATAGTTTTTGGTACAGTCTTCAGGTTTTACAAATATAAGATCATATTGTTTACAAACAAGCATAATTTGACTTGTTCCTTTCCTATGTGGATGCTCTTTATTTTTCTTGAGTGATTGCTCTAGCCAGAGCTTCTACTATTATGTTGAATAATAGTAGTGAATGTGAGCATTCTTGTCATGTTCCAGATCTTAGAGGAAAGCCTTTTAGTTTTTCCCAATTTAGTATGATACTAGTTGTGGGTCTTTTTATGTGATTTTTATTATGTTGAGATTTTCCTTCTATATCCAGTTTTCTGAGGGTTTTTATCATGAAGGAATGTTGAATCTTATCAAATGCTTTTTCAGCATTAATTAAAACGTTTATATGGTTCTTGACCTTCATTCTGTATATATGATGTATCACATTGATTGATTTGTGTATGTTGAACTATCCTTGCATCCTAGGGATAAATCCCACTTGTTCATGAGGAAATATCTTTTTAATGTATTATTTAATTTGGTTCACTAGTATAGTATTGAGACTTTGGAATCAATATTCATCAGAGATATGTGCTTGTTGTTTTCCTTTTTAGATGTGTCTTTGTCTGGTTTTGGTATCAGGGTAACAAGAATTTCAAGAATGAGCCTGGAAGTATTCCCTCTTCCTCTGTTTTTCAGAATAGTTTGTGTAGGATTGGTATCAGTTATTCTTTAAATGTTTGGTAGAATTCAGCTCTAAAGCCATCTGCTCCCAGGCTTTGTTTTTTGTTTTTTGTTTGTTTTGTTTTGTTTTGTTTTTTCTAAAGTGGGAGACTTTTTATTGCAGAATTAATCTCATTACCTGTTTTTGGTCTTATCAGGTTTTGGATTTCTTCATGGTTCAATCTTTGTAGGTTGTATGTGCCTGGGAATTTTTCCATTTTTTTAGAGATTTCAATTTATTGGCATATAGTTGCTCATAGTAGTCACTAATAATTCTTTGAATTTCAGTGGTATCAGTTGTAATATCTCTGCTTTCATGTCTGATTTTATTAATTTTGATCTTTTTTTCTTAGTCGGCCTGAACGTTTGTCAATGTTGTTTAACTTTTCAAGAAAACAGGTTTTTGTTTCATTGATCTTTTGTATTGTTTTCTTCATTTCAATTTCATTTATTTCTGCTGTAATTTTTATTATTTGTGTTCTTCTACTAATTTTGGGCTTGGGTTACTCTTGTTTTTTCAGTTATTTAAGATACACATTTAGGTTGTTTATTTCAAGTTTTTCTTCTTTTCTGATGTAGGCCCTTATAGCTATAAATTTCCTTCTTAGTATTGCTTTCGCTGTATTTCATAGATTTTGGTATGTTGTGTTTCCACTATCATTTGTTTCTAGCATTTTTTCAATTTCCTTTTAAATTTCTTTGATGACCTACTGGTCATTCAGGAGCATATTGTTTCATTTCCATGTGTCTGTATAGTTTCCAAAATTCCTCTTGTTATTGAGTTCTAGTTTTATTCCATTGTGGTCAGAGTTGATGCTTGGTAATATTTCAATTTTTTGGATTGTTCAAGACTTGTTTTGTGATCTAACATATGGTCTATCCTTGAGAAAAATCCATGTGCTGAGGAAAAGAATGTTTATTCTGAAACTTTTGGATGAAATGTTATGTAAATATCTGTAATCAATTTGTTCTATACTGCAGATTAAGTCTGATGTTTCTTTGTTGATTTTCTGTCTGGAGGATCTGTCTGATGCTGAAAGTGGAGTGTTGAAGTCTCCATCTATTATTGTATTGAGGCTTTCTCTTTGCTTTGGTCTAATAGTATTTGCTTTATATATCTGGGTGCTCCAGTGTTGAGTGCATATATATTTACAATTGCAATATCATTTTGATGAATTGACCCCTTTATCATTATATGGTGACCTTTATCTCCTCATAGTTTTTGTCTTGAACTCTATTTTGTCTAATACTTGTATAGGTACTCCACTTTTTTTGGCTTCCATTGCCATGAATTATCTTTTTCCATCCCGTTGTTTTCTTTCTGTGCATGTCTTTATAGACAAAGTGTGTTTCTTAGAGGCAACAGATTGGTGTTTTGTTTGTTTGTTTGTTTTTCCATTTAGCCAGACTATGTCTTTTGATTGGAGAGTTTAGTCCATTTACATTCAATGTTAGTATTGGTAGTTAGGACTTACTTTTGTCATTTTGTTATTTGTTTTCTGGTTATGTTGTGGTCTGCTCGTCTTTCTTTCCTACCTTCCTATTTTTCTTTAGTGAAGGTTATTTTCTCTGGTGATATAATATAGTTTTTTGCTTTTTATGTTTGTGTATCCATTCTATGCTTTTTGGTTTGAGATTACCATGAGGCTTGCAAATACTACCCTCTAACCCATTATTTCAAGCTGATAACAACTTAGCACTGTTCGCATAAGCAAACAAACAAGCACAAAAACAAAACAAATGAAGACTCTGCACCTTAACTCCATCTTCTTCATTTTTAACTTTCTGTTTTCACTATTTATTTCTTATTGTACTGTGTATGTATTCAAAGGTTGTTGTGGCTATTATTTTTTTAATTATACTTTAACTTCTGGGATACATGTGCAGAACGTGCAGGTTTGTTACATCGGTGTACATGTGCCATGGTGGTTTGCTGCACCCATCAACCCATCATCTACATTAGATATTTCTCCTAATGCTATCCCTAGCCCCCCTCACCCTAAAAGGCCCAGTTGTGTGACGTTCCCTGTGTCCTCCCTGTGTCCATGTGTTCTCATTGTTTAGCTCCCAATTATGAGTGATAATGTGGTGTTTGGTTTTCTGTTCCTGTGTTAGTTTGCTGAGAATGATGGTTTCCAGCTTCATCCAGGTCCCTGCAAAGGACATGAACTCATCCTTTTTTATGGCTGCATAGTATTCCATGGTACATATGTGCCACATTTTCTTTATACAGTCTATATTTGATGGGCATTTGGGTTGGTCCCAGGTCTTTGCTCTTGTGAACAATGCTGCAATAAACATACATGTGCATGTGTCTTTATAGTAGAATAATTTATAATCCTTTGGGTATGTACCCAGTAATGGGATTGCTGGATCAAATGGTATTTCTGGTTCTAGATCCTTGAGGAATCACCACACTGTTTTCCCCAATGGTTGAACTAATTTGCACTCCCACCAAGAGTGTAAAAGCATTCCTATTTCTCCACCTACTCTCCAGCATCTGTTGTTTCCTGACTTTTTAATGATCACCATTCTGTCATGAGATGGTATCTCATTGTGGTTTTGATTTGCATTTCTCTAATGAGCAGTGATGATGAGCTTCTTTCTTTCCCATATTTTCTTGGGCACATAAATGTCTTCTTTTGAGAAGTGTCTGCTCATATCCTCCACCCACTTTTTGATGGGGTTGTTTGTTTAATAGATTGCAAAAATTTTCTCCCATTCTGTAGGTTGCCTGTCACTCTGATGATAGTTTCTTTTGCTGTACAGAAGCTCTTTAGTTTAATTAGATTCCATTTGTACATTTTGTCTTTTGTTGCAATTGCTTTTGGTGTTTCAGTCATGAAGTCTTTGCTCATGCCTATGTCCTGAATGGTATTGCCTAGCTTTTCTTCTAGGGTTTTTATGGTTTTGGATATTACATTTAAGTTTTTAATCCACCCTGAATTAATTTTTGTATAATGTGTAAGGAAGGGGTCCAGTTTCAGTTTTCTGCCTAAGGCTAGCCAGTTTGCCCAACACCATTTATCAAATAGGGAATCCATTCCCTCACTGCTTGTTTTTTGTCAGGTTTGTCAAAATCAGATGGTTGTAGATGTGTGGCATTATTTCTGAGGCCTCTGTTCTGTTCCATTGGTCTATATATCTGTTTTGGTACCAGTACCATGCTGTTTTGGTTACTGTAGACTTGTAGTATACTTTGAAGCCAGGTAGTGTGATGCCTCCTGCTTTGTTCTTTTTGCTTAGGATTGTCTTGACTACACGGGCTCTTTTTTGGTTCCATGTGAATTTCTAAGTAGTGTTTTCCAATTCTTTGAAGAAAGTCAATGGTATGAAATGTTTTTCCATGTGTTTGTGTCCTCTCTTATTTCCTTGAGAAGTGGTTTGTTGTTCTCCTTGAAGAGATCTTTCACATCTCTTCTTAGCTGTATTCCTAGGTATTTTATTCTCTTTGTAGCAATTGTGAAATGGAGTTCACTCATGATTTGGCTCTCTGTTTGTCTGTTATTGGTGTATAGGAATGCTTGTGAATTTTGCATGTTGATTTTTTATCCTGAGACTGCTGAAATTGCTTATCAGCTTAAGGAGATTTGGGGCTGAGATGATGGGTTTTTCTAAATATACAATCCTGTCATCTGCAAACAGAGACAGTTTGACTTCCTTTCTTTCTATTTGAATACCCTTTATTTCTTTCTCTTCCTGATTGTCCTGGCCAGAATTTCCAATACTATGTTGAACAGGAGTGGTGAGAGATGGCATCCTTGTTTTGTGCCGATTTTCAAAGGGAATGCTTCCCGTTTTTGCCCATTCAGTATATTGGCTGTGGGTTTGTCATAAATAGCACTTAATATTTTGAGATACATTCCATCAGTACCTAGTTTCTTGAGTGTTTTTAGCATGAAGGCATGTTGAATTTTATCAAAGGCCTTTTCTGCATCTGTTGAGATAATCATGTGGTTTTTGTCATTGGTTCTGTTTATGTGATGGATTATGTTTATTGATTTGCATATGTTGAACCAGCCTTGCATCCCAGGGTTGAAGACGACTTGATCTTGGTGGATAAGCCTTTTTATATGCTGCTGGATTTGGCTTGCCAGTATTTTATTGAGGATTTTCGCATCGATGTTTATCAAGGATATTGGCCTAAAATTTTCTCTTTTTGCTGTGTCTCTATCAGGTTTTGGAATCAGGATGATGCTGGCCTCATAAAATGAGTTAAGGAGTAGTCCCTCTTTTTCCAGTGTTTTGAATAGTTTCAGAAAGAATGGTACCATCTCCTCTTTGTACCTCTGGTAGAATTTGGTTGTGAGTATGTCTGTTCCTGGACTTTTTTTGGTTGCTAGGCTATTAATTACTGTCTCAGTTTCAGAACTTGTTATTGGTCTATTCAGGGATTTGACTTCTTCCTGGTTTAGACTTGGGATGTTGTATGTGTCCAGTATTTTATCCATTTCTTCTAAATTTTCTAGCGTATTTGCATAGAGGTGTTTATAGTATTCTCTGATGATAGTTTGTATTTCTCTGAAGTCAGTGGTAATATCTCCTTTATTATTTTTTTATTGTGTCTATTGGATTATTCTCTCTTTTCTTCTTTACTAGTCTGGCTAGCTGTCTTTCTATTTTGTTGAACTTTTCAAAAAACCAGCTCCTGGATTCATTGATTTTCTGAAGGGTTTTAGGTGTTTCTATCTCCTTCAGTTGTGCTCTGACCTTAGTTATCTCTTGTCTTCTGCTAGCTTTTAAATTTGTTTGCTCTTGCTTCTCCAGTTCTTTTAATTGTGATGCTAGGGTGTCAACTTTAGATCTTTCCCACTTTCTCCTGTGGGCATTTAGTGCTATAAATTTCCCTCTAAACACTGCTTTAGCTGTGTCCCAGAGATTCTGGTACATTTTGTCTTTGTTCTCATTGGTTTCAAAGAACTTATTTATTTCTGTCTTAATATCGTTATTTACTCAGTAGTCATTCAAGAGCAAGTTGTTCAGTTTCCATGTAGTTGTGCAGTTCTGAGTGAGTTTCTGAATCCTGAGTTCTAATTTGATTGCACTGTGGTATGAGAGACTGTTTGTTATGATTTATTTTGTTTTGCATTTGCTGAGGAGTGTTTCACTTCCACTTATGTGGTCAGTTTTAGAATTAGTGTGATGTGGTGCTGAGAAGAATGTGTATTCTGTTGATTTGAGGTGGAGAGTTCTGTAGATGTCTATTAGGTCAGCTTGGTCCAGAGCTGAGTTCAAGTCCTAATATCCTTGTTAATTTTCTGTCTCATTGATCTGTCTAATATTGACTGTGGGGTGTTAAAGTCTCTCACTATTATTGTGTGGGAGTCTAAGTCTCTTTGTAGGTCTCTAAGAACTTGCTTTATGCATCTGGGTGCCCCTGTATTGGGTGCACATATATTTAGGATAGTTAGCTCTTCTTGTTGCGTTGATTCCTTTACCATTATGTAATTCTCCTCTTTGTCTTTTTTGACCTTTGTTGGTTTAAAGTCTGTTTTATCAGAGTCTAGGATTGCCACCCCTGCTTTCTTTTGCTTTCCATTTGTGTGGTAAATATTCCTCCATCCCTTTATGTTGAGACTATTTGTGTCTTTGCACATGAGATGGGTTTCCTGAATACAGCACAACAATGGGTCTTGACTCTATTCAATTTGCTGGTCTGTGCCTTTTAATTGGGGTATTTTTCCCATTTACATTTAAGGTTAATATTGTTATGTGTGATTTTTTTCCTATAATTATGATGCTAGCTGGTTATTTTGCTTCATTAGTTGATGTAGTTTCTTCATAGTGCCAGTGGTCTTTACAATTTGGTGTTTTTCTGAAGTGGCTGGTACTGGTTTTTCCTTTCCACATTTAGTGCTTGCTTCAGAAGCTCTTGTGAGGCAGGCCTGGTGGTAACAAAATCTCTTAGCATTTGCTTGTCTGTAAGGATTTTATTTCTCCTTCAACTATGAAGCTTTTTGGCTTGCTATGAAATTCTGGGTTGAAAATCCTTTTCTCGAAGAATGTCCCCACTCTCTTCTGGCTTGTAGGGTTTCTGCCAGGAGATCTGCTGTTAGTCTGATGGGCTTCTCTTTTTGGTGACTCAGCCTTTCTGTCTGGCTGTTCTTAACATTTTTTCCTTCATTTCAACCTTGGTGAATCTGACTATTAAGTGTTTTTGGGTGCTCTTCTCAAGGAGTATCTTTGTGGTGTTCTCTGTATTCCCTGAATTTGAATGTTGGCCAGTCTTGCTAAGTTGGGTAAGTTCTCCTGGATAATATCCTGAAGAGTGTTTTCCAACTTTGTTCCATTATCCCCATCTCTTTCAGGTACACCAGTGAATCATAGGTTTGGTCTTTTCACATAGTCCAATATTTCTTGAGGCTTTGTTTGTTCCTTTTCATTGTTTTTTCTCTAATCTCATCTTCATGCATTATTTCATTAAATTGATCTTCAATGTCTGATATCCTTTCTTCCGCTTGATTGGTTCACCTATTGATATTTGTGTATGCTTCACAAAGTTCTCATGCTGTGCTTTTCAGCTCCATCAGGTCATTTATGTTCTTTTCTAAACTGGTTATTCCAGGTAGCAATTGCTCTAACCTTTTTTCAAGGTTCTTGGCTCCCTTGCATTGGGTTAGACCATGCTTCTTTATCTCAGTTGAGTTTATTACCCACCTTCTGAAGCCTACTTGTGTCAATTCATCAAACTCATTCTCTGTCCAGTTTTGTTCCCTTGCTGGTGAGGAGTTGTGATCCTTTGGAAGAGAAGAGGCTTCCGGTTTTTGGAATTTTCAGCCTTTTTTGCCCTGGTTTTTCCTCATCATCATGGATTTTTCTACCTTTGGTCTTTGATGTTGGTGACCTTCAGATGGGGTCTCTGTGTGTACATCCTTTTTGTTGATGTTGATGCTATTCCTTTTTGTTTGTTGATTTTCCTTCTAACAGTCAGGGTCCTCTGCTGCAAGTCTGCTGTAGTTTGCTGGAGGTCCACTCCAGACCTTGTTTGCCTGGGTATCACCAGTGGAGGCTGCAAAACAGCAGATATTGCTGCCTGTTCCTTCCTCTGGAAGCTTCATCCCAGAGGGTTACCCGCCAGATGTCAGGCAGAGCTTTCCTGTATGAGGTTTCTGTCCACCATTGCTGGGAGATGTCTCCCAGTCAGGAGGCACAGAGGTCAGGGACCCACTTAAGGAGGCACTCTGTCCTTTAGCAGAGCTCAAGTGCTGTGCTGGGAGATCTGCTGCTCTTTTCAGAGTGTCAGGCAGGAAAGTTTATGTCTGCTGATGCTGCTCCCACAGCTGCCCCTTCTCCCAGGTGCTCTGTCCCAGGGAGATGAGAGTTTTATCTATAAGCCCCTGACTGGAGCTGCTGCCTTTCTTTCAGAGATGCCCTGACCAGAGAGGAAGAGTCTAGAGAGGCAGTTTGGCTACAGTGGTTGTGCAGAGCTGCTGTGGGCTCCACCCAGTTTGAACTTCCTGGTGGCTTTGTTTACACCGTAAGGGGAAAATTGCCTACTCAAGCCCCAGTAATGGCGGACGTCCTTCCCTTGACTAAGCTCAAGCATCCCAGGTTGACTTCAGACTGCTAAACTAGCAGTGAGAATGTCAAACCAGTGGATCTTAGCTTGCTGGGCTCCAAGGAGGTGGGATCCACTGAGCTAGACAACTTGGCTTCCTGGCTTCAGCCCCCTTTCCAGGGGACTGAATGGTTCTGTCTTGCTGGCATTCCAGGCACCACTGGGGTATGACAAAAAACTTCTGCAGCTAGCTTGGTGTCTGCCCAAATGATCGCCCAGTTTTATGCTTGAGACCCATGGCCCTGGTGGCATAAACACTGGAGGAAATCTCCTGGTTTGTGGGTTACGAAGACCATGGGGAAAGTGTAGTATCTGGGCCAGAATACATCGTCCCTCACTGCATGGTCCCTTACAGCTTCCCTTGGCTAGGAGAGGGAGTTCCCCGACCCCTTGCACTTCCCGGGTGAGGCAACACCACACCCTCCTTTGGCTCGTCCTCCGTGGGCTTCACCTGCTGTCTAACCAGTCCCAATGAGATGAGCCATGTAACTCAGTTGGAAATGCAGAAATCACCCACCTTTTGTGTTGATCTTGCTGGGATTTGCAGACTGGAGCTGTTCCTATTAGGACATTTTGCCAGCCACTCCACTATTTTTTTTCATTATTACTTCATCATTTAGTTTTTCTATTTAAGTGATGTTTATGCACCACATTTACAGTGTTATATTAGTCTGTGTTTTCTGTCTCCTTACTATTACCCGTACGTTTTATAGCTTCAAGTGATTACTTATTGCCCATTAATGTCCTTTTCTTTCTGACTGAAGTAATCCGTTTGAAATTTTTCTAGGAGAGATCTGGTGCTGATGAAATCACTCAGCTTTTGTTGGTCTGGAAAAGTCTTTATTTCTCTTTCACGTTTGAAGGATATTTTCTCCAGTTACACTATTCTAGGCTGAAAGTTTTCTTTCTTCAGCACTTTTAATATGTCATACCACTCTCTGCACTTTTAATATGTCATACCACTCTCTCCTGGCCTTTTTCCACTGAAAAGTCTGCTGCCACATGTAGTGGAGCTCCATTGTACATTATTTGTTCCTTTTCTTTTGCTGCTTTCAGAATCCTTTCTTTATCCTTGAGCTTAGGGAAATTGATTATTAAATTCTTTGAGGTAGTCTTCTTCAATTTTACCCAGCATTGTTTGTTGAGAAAAACCATTAATTCCTATCAAATTGCAGTAGTCCCTTTTTTGAAATCAATTGACCATGAATGTTGGTGTTAATTTCTGGACTCTCAGTTGTGTTTCATTGTTCTTTTTGTCTACCCTAATGCGAGTACCATAGAATCCTGATTCGTGCAGCTTTGAAGGAAGCTTTGAAATCAGAAAGTGTAATCCTCCAAATTTGTTATTTTTTAACAATTTCTTTTTGTGATCTTGTCACTTGGCATTTCCAGACACATTTTAGGAGTAGTTTTCCACTTTCTGTGATAAAACATCTGCTGGGATTTGATAGGGATTGCACTGAATATATAACTGCAATCTATAAAGACTCTCCCTGTGCTGGATTTCAGTTCAGCTGGTCATTCTTGCTTGTACAACTCTGTGACAAATTGAAAATATAATTTTGGCCTTTTATTTCTCTTATCTTAATTGTAGCAGAAGGTATCATGCTTTTCTGAACCTTGTGCATTCTGCCCAAAAATGGAAGTTCTCAGCCACGTGTGGTTGTTCACACCTGTATCCAAGCACTTTGGGAGGCCAAGATGAGGGGACCACTTGAGAACAGGAGTTGAAGACCAGACTGGGCAACATAGGGAGACTCTGTCTCAACAAAAAAATTAATAAATTAGCTGGGTGTTGTGATGCATGCCTGTAGACACAGCTACTCCAGAAGCTGAGGTGGGAGGACACAAATGTTTGAGACTGGAGTGAGCTGTGATCAAGCCATTGCACTCCAGCCTGGGTGACGAGTAAGACCCTGTCTTTCTCGCTCCCCTACCCCAAAAAAGAAGGTCTCACTGGTTATCTTTTATGTATCAAGTAACACACGATCATACAAAAAATTAATAATTCTTGGTTCCTGCCTGTACTAGACAGATAAAATTGAAAGCAGTTATACAACTAGTATACTAACTCCTCATAAAGACTACCTGAAGAGAATATTATTATCATTTGCATTTTACAGATGATTATACCAAGGCAGAGAGTAGTTGTCAAATGAAGTCTCAGACCATATTTGAAGCAGAAAATCTGCTTTCCTGTCTTGGCAGTCTGACTCCACAATCTTCTGTTAGAAACAATTATACTGTAAAAATGGAAAAGAAATAAAATCCAAGATTGGAGACTGATTTTAACATCGATTCCTCTTAAACCATTAAGTAATCAAAAATAAATTAAGTAATCAAAAATAAATTAAATAGAGAAAAATAAAACCAAATATTCATATATGAAGATCTAGACTCTTCAATGGAAAACGTGTTTTTTAAGTAGCCCACAATAGTTACACAATTGCTGAGTATTTTAACTAAAAAATTAATATTTAACAATTAAGTAAACTCAAGAGAAAAACTTAGTCAAAGGTCTCAGCATGAGAGATAAGTTTGAAAAATATTGAAAATGGGTTGAAAAGCCCAAATGGGAAAATAGGGCTATTTTTACCTGGATGATGTCCCTGAAATTAATTTTCCATTTTGGAAATTATAGGACAACAATTTCTTCTATCCATGAGTGAGTGAGTATGTGTGTATGGGTTTGAGTGTGTTTGTATTAATGAGCTTCTTAAGAATAAGTTATTCAAAAGTATTAGTAGCAACCGGGTTTTAAGAATTATTGGCCTTTCTGAGATTCCCAAGAAAAACTTGAATCCTTTTGCTAGGAAAAGTTTGGATTCACTCTACATATTACTCACGTTGAAAAATTAAATTTACTTTGGTGATGATCCTAGTTATGTCCAAGCTCCCTTTACCAGGTTATACAACCAGTGTGTCATCTCTGTATTAGGTTGTAAAATTTCTCTAACAACTGAAGTTGCTGAACACAAATTGTGGAGAGGTTAAACAAAGAAATAAGTGCAGAACAATTAAAAAACTCTTCATTGGCATGCTAGTAGATGAGAAATCACTTTTCACTTCAACACCAATATGGAAAATTTTATCTTACAGCAAGGACATTGTGTTTGAATAGGAGTTAATTTGAGCTGTTTTGGAAATCATCATGTTTTCCATAAAGACAGCATTGATTTCATCCACTGGCATATTGAGATGCTTTCCTGTTTGACATTGGTCACAGAATTTAAAAAGGAACAAGAACATTCCTGCAAATTCAGGAATCAGGTACACATAGATGTTAAGGTCAAGACCTTAAAGGAAATCTTGACCAGTGATATCAGGCTTGCCTTTAAAAAAATTCAGACATGATAAATTTACTACCAATCATTTTTTCTTCAACAATAATATATTTATATTTTCCCATGGACACCTACATTAAACTTATAGACTCTTTTTATTTTTCAACTTTTTTTCTTTGAGTCCTTTTAAGAGTTGTTAAACAATCCTGAAATTTCCCTTACTGTATGCTGTTAACTAATTATATTTTTTCAAAGTCATCTGACACAATGATTGATTAAAGGAAGTATCTCCAGTATAATTACAGTTACTTATAACAAGAGTATTTGAAATTTGAAGAAAAAGGTTAGACAATTTATAATGAAATATAAATAAATATGTATAATATATAAGGCATTATTAATAAGTGTATATGAAATAGTCATAGAATGAAAAAGATTAATGTAATTCATTGAAGTAAACATACATTCTGAATAAGAATAGAAAAGGACTTGGAAAATATTGTTTAATAATATTTTATATAAATACAAAAATGTATATATTAGCCCAACATTATTTATTTTGGAAAGGATATGACACAATGGGAATTTTCATACACTACTCCTAGAATTATAAATCTGTGCCATCATTTCGGCTGAGTATGGCATTATCTCATTAAGGTGAAGGATCATATCCTAAGATCAAGTATTTACACTCTTATCAGAATACATATACATACACATGCATATCACTGAGTTTCAATAGCTAAAGTTGAGAAGTCCTCCAAATGTCTCAGTCCTCCAAATGGATAAAGAAATTGTGGCATACTTATACAGTGGAATACTGTACAGTGATCAAAATTAACAAACAAGACTGACATGTTTACAACAGAATAATACAACAAAGAAAATGAACAAATTTGAGCTACATAGATAATAATACTCACAGATGTGAGAGGAATTATCAAGGTGGAAAAATACATTTACTGTAATCTCATCGACGTAAAGTTTGAAAAACTTTATTTTTAATACATTGTCATTCATTACATTGGTGATAAAACCCTACAGTGAAACATATGAGTGATCATCATATGAGTGATCATCATAACAATTTGGGATAGTCAGAAGGGAGGAAAATATCAACAAGAAGACATATATCGGGAGTATCTGGATTGCTAGCAAATTCTATTTTCTTCCTTTTTTTTTTTTTTTTTTTTTTACTCTTTCATTTGGATCTTATCTGTGCGAAGTATCTTTGACTGTGTTGGTCACCGTTGAATCAAATATCTAAATAAAGTGAATCTGGAACATCCTAGTGTCCACATCAAAAGCACTCAATAAAGTTGGATGGGGGAGTGGTAGTGGTGGTACAGCAACAGGGTAGCCTAGTTAGGTTGCACAAGCCCATCTAAACATGTGTGATTATCTGATTAGAACCAGGAAACTGGTTACTAGAAAAAGTAATTTAGTGAACTGTAGAAAGAAAATATTACATATTGAAGCACCTCACAATGACTTAACACCAATTTTATTTGAGGAATTTCTTTAGTGTTAAAATACAGTAAACAGCCACAGTAACAGTAATACCACTAACATTCTTGAGCATTTATTGTGTGCTTAGAAATTTGTGTATGAATTCATTTAATATAGTCCTATGGCTTAACACGAGATTTTGTTCATTTTTTTAATATTTTATTTATTTATTTATTTTTATTTTACTTTAAGTTCTAGGGTACATGTGCACAATGTGCAGGTTTGTTACATATGGATACATGTGCTTGTTGGTGTGCTGCACCCATTAACTCGTCATTTACATTAGGTATATCTCCTAATGCTATCCCTCCCTCCTCCCCCCACCCCACAACAGGCCCCAGAGTGTGATGTTCCCCACCCTGTATCCAAGTGTTCTCGTTGTTCAGTTCCCACCTATGAGTGAGAACACGTGGAGTTTGGTTTTCTGTCCTTGTGATAGTTTGCTCAGAATGATGGTTTCTAGCTTCATCCACGTCCCTACAAGGGACGTGAACTCATCATTTTTTATGGCTGCATAGTATTCCATGGTGTATATGTGCCACATTTTCTTTATCCAGTCTATCATTGATGGGCATTTGGGTTGGTTCCAAGTCTTTGCTATTGTGAATAGTGCTGCAATAAACATATATGTGCATGTGTCTTTATAGCAGCATGATTTATAATCTTTCGGGTATATATCCAGTAATGGGATGGCTGGGTCAAATGGCATTTCTAGTTCTATATCCCTGAGGAATCGCCACACTGTCTTCCACAATGTTTGAACTAGTTTATAGTCTCACCAGTAGTGTAAATTTTTCCTATTTCTCCACATCCTCTCCAGCACCTGTTGTTTCCTGACTTTTTAATGATTGCCATTCTAACTGGTGTGAGATAGTATCTCATTGTGGTTTTGATTTGCATTTCTCTGATGGCCAGCGATGATGAGCATTTTTTCGTGTGTCTTTTAGCTGCATAAATGTCTTCTTTTGAGAAGTGTCTGTTCATATCCTTCACCCACTTGTTGATGGGGTTGTTTGATTTTTTTCTTGTAAATTTGTTTAAGTTCTTTGTAGATTCTGGATATTAGCCCTTTGTCAGATGGGTAGATTGTAAAAATTTTCTCCTTCTGTAGGTTGCCTGTTCACTGTGACGGTAGTTTCTTTTGCTGTGCAGAAGCTCTTTATTTTAATTAGATCCCATTTGTCAATTTTGGCTTTTGTTGCCATTGCTTTTGGTGTTTTAGCCATGAAGTCCTTGCCCATGCCTGTGTCCTGAATGGTATTGCCTAGGTTTACTTCTAGGGTTTTTATGGTTTTAGGTCCAACATTTAAGTCTTTAATCCATCCTGAATTAATTTTTGTATAAGGTGTAAGGAATGGATCCAGTTTCAGCTTTCTACATATGGCTAGCCAGTTTTCCCAGCACCATTTATTAAATAGGGAATCCTTTCCCCATTTCTTGTTTTGGTCAGGTTTGCCAAAGATCAGATGGTTGTAGATGTGTCATATTATTTGTGAGGGCTCTGTTCTGTTCCATTGGTCTATATCTCTGTTTTGGTACCAGCACCATGCTGTTTTGGTTACTATAGCCTTGTAGTATAGTTTGAAGTCAGGTAGCGTGATGCCTCCACCTTTGTTCTTTTGGCTTAGGATTGTCTTGGCAATGCAGGCTCTTTTTTGGTTCCATATGAACTTTAAAGTAGTTTTTTTCCAATTCTGTGAAGAAAGTCATTGGTAGCTTGATGGGGATGGCATTGAATCTATAAATTACCTTGGGAAGTATGGCCATTTTCATGATATTGATTCTTCCTATCCATGAGCATGGAATGTT
This sequence comes from Homo sapiens, assembly GCF_000001405.40. Lineage (NCBI taxonomy): Eukaryota > Metazoa > Chordata > Mammalia > Primates > Hominidae > Homo > Homo sapiens. Next base: position 333,016 of record NW_003571050.1, on the reverse strand, counting down.
CTTCCATTTGTTTGTATCCTCTTTTATTTCATTGAGCAGTGGTTTGTAGTTCTCCTTGAAGATTTCCTTCACATCCCTTGTAAGTTGGATTCTTAGGTATTTTATTCTCTTTGAAGCAATTGTGAATGGGAGTTCACTCATGATTTGGCTCTCTGTTTGTCTGTTATTGGTGTATAAGAATGCTTGTGATTTTTGCACATTGATTTTGTATCCTGAGACTTTGCTGAAGTTGCTTATCAGCTTAAGGAGATTTTGGGCAGAGAAGATTAGGTTTTCTAAATATACAATGGCAAATTCTATTTTCTTACCAAGGTATGGTAACATCAATTTTAACCTTATAATTTTTTATCTTACTCTTTATTAGTTGTTATTACTCTGTATATGTATGTTTTGCTCCACAATAAAAAATGTTAAAAAAGCAGAAACCTAAAGTACATTTCTAAGTGTAAAATTAGGGTGATGCAGCATATTCTTATAGATATCATTGTAATTAGAGTTTTTGCTGAATAAAGAATAGAGGATTATGGTACTAAGAAATCCAAGTTAAAATTTAAAACTTTTCTATTTTTATTTTGAGACAGGATCTGACTCTGTTGTCCAGGCTGGAGTGCACAAGAACAATCTTGGCTCAATGCAGCCTCTGTCACCTTGGCTCAAGTGATTCTCCCATCTTAGCCTCCAGAGTAGCTAGGACAACAGGCGTGCACCACTACGCCCTGCTAATTTTTTCTATTTTTTTGTAGAGACATGGTTTTGCCATGTTGCCCAGGCAGGTCTTGAACTCCTGTGCTTAGGCAATCCACCTGCCTCAGCCTCCCAAATGATGGGATTACAGGTGTGAGCCACCACACCTGGCCCAAAACATTACTTAAATTAATTCACACAAAAGAAGAGATAGGCAAGAATTGTTAATCCACTTTCTTAGTGCTAATATGAATTTGAAACATCAAAATTTGAATATCCATGATTGATAGACACCTTTTTTCTTATTTCCAATTTAATTATTTATGATACACATTTGAAAGTGTAAGAAATTCAGGAATTTACAATAAATTATAGTACGATGGATATTAAATATATTAAATTAAATGTATTAAAAATGTGTCTCTAAATGAAATATTTATATTCACATTGTTAGCATTCTAATTTCACTGTACTATTCCTGTGTACACCAGTGTGTTGGGTAAAATTTTTTGTTACTATAAATTTTTTGGCTGTCCATTAGAGAAAAAAATCATAGAAAGGCAAATTTTTTAAGGTATAAAAAATAATTTAGCCTGATCTTTGAGCATGTTTGTGCACATATAATGCTACTTTGACTGCTGTAGTAAAATAATCCAGATTTAGTCACCATAGCTAAGAATGAGAAAAAGCATTTGTGATAGTTTGCTGAGAATGCCGTCATTTTTTGATAAAGTTTTAAGTACTGTTTTACTATTTGATCTTTTAAAGATTGTTAAAAACTAAGAAGTGTTGATTTCTGCTAATAAAAACAGCTTAAAATTTATATCATGGAATAGAATGGTGGAGCTGTGGCGGAGATACTTTGTCTTATTAATTGAAATGACATTTTGAGATCCAGTGCTGCTCACTGAATTTCCCTGTGAGGAGAGTTTGTGGTGATGACCCCACAACAGACAAGCTACTATCCAAAAAAACTCCTCACATCAAATCAATTTCCAGTTTCTTCCAAGTTGCAGGAGGATGCCTAGACCTTGGTTTTATTCTCTTCTTTGACCAAAGTATTACAAAAGGAAGAAAATCATTACCATTTTCATGTCAGGAGGGTGGCATGGAGATGGACTTAGCCTATTTTCGGTGTTCCATCTCTTGCCCTTTATAAGGGTTAGTTGACTGTTTATGATACATTCCGGTATTTCCCATTTTTGTTTTGGTTCATTTCTAAGTGTGCATTATAATTTTAATATTAAAGTTTTTGATTAGGAGAAATGTCTCATAGAAATTATTATTACTCATCTGATTATATACTGAAGGGAAAAATCAATTAGTTGTATATACATTCTTATACAACTCTAAGATAGTTGAAATAGGAACTTTCTTATTTAGTTGCATCATGAGGAAATTTGAGATGATGTTATCTGCCAAGCGCAGATCTCTCCAAAGGATTTCTTCTAGCCTTAATTATCCACCTCACAGGACAAACCTTTGCCATTCCCCATCTATTTTTTCTTTCGGCTCCTCAATTCCTGACACAACAAAGTTGTACATATTTCCCACACTCTTGGTTTAGCAGAGTTCTTTTATCAGTTATGTTTTTCTGCAAGAGAAGACCCTCTAAAACATTAGACATATATATCTCACATGTCTTTGGATTTCATTTTTGTGTGTGTGTGTTTTCTGTTTTTTGAGATGGAGTCTCACTCTGTTGCCCAGGCTGGAGTGCAGTGGCACTATCTTGGCTCACTGCAACCTCCACCTCCAGGGTTCAAGCGATTCTCCTGCCTCACCCTTCTGAGTAGATGGGACTACAGGCACACTCCACTGAGCCCACCTAATTTTTGTATTTTTAGTAGAGATGGGGTTTCACCATGTTGGCCAGGATGGTCTCAATCTCTTGACTTCGTGATCTGCCCTCCTCAGCCTCCTCCACACCTGGCCTGGATTTCATTTTTCTAAGCTGGGTTTGATGGATGGCTCTGGTGATTTGAGATGGGCCAAATTCGGCATCTTGGAGATAGAGTTTGGCCAATTTAGTCTGGATCAGGTGGGGGCAATCTGACTACATTACTTTCTCATTCTCCTTCTGGGAACAGTGTACTTGCGAGGCGATATTCTCATGGTAAATGGAAAGAGGAAGAATCCCCAGTATGGAAGCCATCTCAAATCTCTATGCAAAGTGTAGTAATTTTCTGTTTATCAAAGTAAGTTAAATGATTGAACTCCAAGTTCAGGGGAAAGGTAGTCAGTCTTCCTGTGATAGGAGGATACTGCAAGATTATATACCAAAGGGTCGGGTACTCAGGAATTCTTATAAAATGGCTAAATATTTTATATAATAATAAATATTTAAACATTAGACTTGAGAGAAACTTTACCAAAGGCCTAAGAATTAGAGATATGTTTGATAAATAAATATTATTCATGGGCTGAAAACTCTTGAGTGGGAAAATAGGGCTAATTTCATCTGGACAACTTCTTGGAAACTCATTTTTTATTTTGGAAATTATGAGAAAATAATTTGTTCCATTCATAAGTGGTGTGCACATGCGTGTATTTGTGTTCATATTTATGAGCTTGTGAATAATGAAGTTATACAAAAGTATTAGCAGCAACCAAATCTTATGGAGTATTGGCCTGCCTGTGGTTCTCAAGAAAATCTTAGATGCTTTTGATAAAAGCAGTTTGGATTCTGTGTATACAAATCTGGCATTTTAAAAAGTCCATATTGGTAATGATCTTAGTTGTGACCAAGCTCCCTTTAAGACTTTAGACATTTGCTATATGATCTATGTATTGGGTTATAAAACTTCCCAAACAACTGAAGTTGCTAAACACAAATGATGGAGAGGTTACACAAAGAAAAATTGCAAACTCTGAAAGAGAGTACATTCTTATTTGTGTACTAGCAAATGAGGATTCAGGTTTCCAGTCAATTTCAGTATGAATAATTCTAGCCTGTAACAAGAACAAACAGTGAATGAATGAGTTAATTTGAGTTGTTTGAAAATAAGAATGTTTTCCATAAAGAGATCATTGAACTCATCAGTTAACACGCCATGGTGATTTCTGGCTTGACACTGGTCACAACGTTTAAAAGTAAAAAGAATGACCCAGCAGATTTACAAATTAGGTGCATATAGAATTTAAGGTCAGGATATTCAAGCAATCACAACCAGTGATATTACATTGAGAGGTGAAGCCAGCTGGACTTCCTGGGTGGAGTGGAGATTTGGAGAACTATTCTGAAGCTAGCAAGGGGATTGTAAAATGCACCAATCAGTGCTCTGTAAAAGGCACCAATCAGCACTCTTTAGGTAGCATGGGGATTATAAAATGCACCAATCAGCACTCTTTAGGTAGCATGGGAATTATAAAATGCACCAGTCAACACTCTGTAAAAATGCACCAATCAGCACTCTAGCTAGCCAGAGGATTGTAAAATGCACCAATCAGCTCTCTGTAAAAGGCACCAATCAGCGCTCCATAAAACGCACCAATCATCAGGATCCTAAAAGTAGCCAATCACAGGGAGGATTGAAAAAAGGGCACTCTGATAGGACAAAAATGGAACATGGGAGGGGACAAATAAGGGAATAAAAGCTGGCCATTCCAGCCCACGGGGCAGCCCACGGGGCAACCCACTCAGGCCCCCTTCCACCCTGTGGAACCTTTGTCCTTTTGCTCTTAACAATAAACCTTGCTACCACTCAGTCTTTGGGTCCACACAGTCTTTAAGAGCTGAAACCTTGCTACTGCTCAGCCCTGGGGCCATGCCATCTTTAAGAGCTGTAACATCACTGCAAAGGTCCGTGCCTCCATTCTTGAAGTCAGCGAGACCACGAACCCACCTGCAGGAACCAACTCCGGATACAACACCAGCATTTTAAAAATTTCTTTTTGTCTGTTCAGACATGATAACTTTTCTGCCCATCATATTTTCCATTCTAGTAGTGGTTACATTTGTTATTGGAAATTTTGCTAATGGCTTCATAGCGTTGGTAAATTCCACCGAGTGGGTGAAGAGACAAAAGATCTCCTTTGCTGACCAAATTGTCACTGCTCTGGCGGTCTCCAGAGTTGGTTTGCTCTGGGTGTTATTATTAAATTGGTATTCAACTGTGTTGAATCCAGCTTTTTATAGTGTAGAATTAAGAACTACTGCTTATAATATCTGGGCAGTAACCGGCCATTTCAGCAACTGGCCTGCTACTAGCCTCAGCATATTTTATTTGCTCAAGATTGCCAATTTCTCCAACCTTATTTTTCTTCGCTTAAAGAGGAGAGTTAAGAGTGTCATTCTGGTGGTGCTGTTGGGGCCTTTGCTATTTTTGGCTTGTCATCTTTTTGTGGTAAACATGAATCAGATTGTATGGACAAAAGAATATGAAGGAAACATGACTTGGAAGATCAAATTGAGGCGTGCAATGTACCTTTCAGATACGACTGTAACCATGCTAGCAAACTTAGTACCCTTTACTGTAACCCTGATATCTTTTCTGCTGTTAGTCTGTTCTCTGTGTAAACATCTCAAGAAGATGCAGCTCCATGGCAAAGGATCTCAAGATCCCAGTACCAAGGTCCACATAAAAGTTTTGCAAACTGTGATCTCCTTCTTCTTGTTACGTGCCATTTACTTTGTGTCTGTAATAATATCAGTTTGGAGTTTTAAGAATCTGGAAAACAAACCTGTCTTCATGTTCTGCCAAGCTATTGGATTCAGCTGTTCTTCAGCCCACCCGTTCATCCTGATTTGGGGAAACAAGAAGCTAAAGCAGACTTATCTTTCAGTTTTGTGGCAAATGAGGTACTGAGTGAAAGGAGAGAAGCCTTCATCTCCATAGATTCAGAAGAGGGGCATTGTGTGTCTTCTAGCAGAAAACAAACTGGTGGTGTATGAAACATTTTATATTTCTTACAGTGTTTTCTGTAATGTATGTGTATGAATAATTTCCAAACATATACCTAGATAAATCTTTAACCTAGTCTAAAAAATGTATGTATGTGTGTGTGTATGTGTGTGTGAAAAACTTAAGAACATTGACAATAACATACTCTTTTTTGTTTTTTTCATATGAACTGCCAGATTATACAAAATATGACAAAAATTCCTCAGAATTATGAAGCCATGTGTATTTCATTCATGTATTTTATCTTTCATTTGTAGAATTTACAATGTCTATTTATAATTATTAAGAACTAACAGCTTATCTCAGGAAAGATATTGCTGTTTTCTATTGTTATTTGAACCACACAAATATACCACAGTGTGCTTAGAAATCATTGTTTGAACCTCTATCTTATTGGATGGTAAGGTCATTCAATTCTAAACCAATAATGTGGATGTATCTTTGGGGTTTTATTCCATTATGAATTCCTATTTTATGGTTAGTAAAAAGCAAACAGAATTATTGTAAACAATGCACACTATAGAATTCGAGTGACAAGTATAGGTAGAATAAATTTCATATATGTCTACCATAAACAGTACTGAAGAATACTAGATTTAAAGCAAGTATGTGAATAGCTTAGAAAAAAATCTCTTTGATAATAAAGGGAGGAAATATGATCATGGTCTTGATTGCTATTATCGGTTTCCATACGCAGTTAGAAACGTCATTTCTTCCAGCTTTTGAATTAAAGAAAAGCTGTTTTTGAAGTTGAGATCTGATGTAAATTATTTTAGTATTTTTTTCTAAGACACTTCTAAGCCCCTGAATTGCTAATTATATCCTCATCTTCCATTTACAAAATTCCTTCTAAACTTCAGATAAGAGAACTCAAATCTTCTCTTTTCTAAAAAAAAAAACTATCAATGTAAAAATAGTATAGAAATTATGGAAAATAATTCAGTGAAACTTTTTGTAAATGTTAAAATAGTATCTATGAAATCTATGTATTAATTATGGGATGTGCCTTACCATTGTAATTTTGTTGTCAGTGATGAAAGTGTTTTGACATATTCATTAACAGGAAGTTCTATTATAAGAAAGAAATGTACAGTCTTGTTCACAGCTAAATTCTATATGACTACATTAATTCTTGGTGTTATGAAGTTTTAACAATGTTATTTAATGTTATTTAAACCTTAAGATAAATCATCCCCACACCTGATTTATGTAATTTTTTAATCATATATCTTCCTCAGTACAATGTAAGAACTGTAAAGAAAGAGATCATGTCTGTCTTGCTTTCTGTTGATTCCCAGGACCTAGAACCCAGCACCAAGAATAGATGGCCAAAAATGATACTTTAATGAACAAATAAATGGGTGGCTAAAATGGATAAGTTGATGTGGTAAATCAATGAAAAGGAAACTCATCACAAAATCTGCAGTTGCATGAATTCCCCTGTTCTGGTCTCAGGTTGAGGTTTCAGGCTTATCCAAGCAGAATCCTTCCTCAGAGGAAAAGTTTGGCTATTCCACAATTTTAGGGGAAATATCACACTAGTGATATATATAGTGATATATAGTCACACTATATATATATATAGTGATATATAGTCTTGATGCAGCTGTGTCAGGTGTCTGAATTGGAGACAAGGTAAAACATCAAAATTAGATGGCACCTTGGAAGGCTGAGGCGGGCGGATCACGAGGTCAGGATATCGAGACCATCCCGGCTACTATGGTGAAACCCCGTCTCCACTAAAAATACAAAAAAATTAGCTGGGAGTGGTGGTGGGCACCTGTATTCCCAGCTACTCGGAAGGCTGTGGCCGGAGAATGGCGTGAACGTGGGTGGCAGAGCTTGCAGTGAGCCGAGACCGCGCCACTGCATTCCAGCCTGGGCGACAGACAAAAAAAAAAAAAGAAAAGAAAAAATTAGGTGGCACCTATGACAATACTTTAAAAAGCATATAAAAGACTTTGGTCTATTTGCATAAGTATTTTTTTATTGTGAATTATATATTTGTGTTATGATATTTTCTAGTTGATTATTAGGTAAACAAAATGGCATTTCATTTCAAAAAATTGAGTTAGTAACCAGCTACTTGACCAAAATGTTTTTAATTAATACCTGTTAATGAAAGTGATGACATTTATTTAGAAGTAAAGTTCAAGACAAAAATGGCAGGGACATGTGGAAATTGAGACAGGAAGAAATGTGAAACAATGCTCTAGTCGCTTTGAATTCTGCTGGATCATCTGGCACAGTGGCCATAGCAGCTTGGACCAGAGCCTGTATCTGCTGTAGAGCCCTCTTTTGTTCTGGGTTCCACTTGAGACCAGTAGCCTTTGGAAACTTTATTAATGAGTCAGAGCAATATTTTCAAACGTGGAATATGTTGGCTCCAAAATCTCAATAGGTCCCCAAAACATTGTATCTCTTTTGTAGTGATAGGAAGTACATAGAGAGAGCAACATGCCATTTACTTTAAAAAAGATTGTTTTGACATGTGCCCTAGGGACACTGCACACCTTAAAACATCACCTATGCTGTAGGTCCCTGAATCTTCTCAGGTTTATTTCTTGTCTTCTGGTATTTTACTTCCATCCAACATTAGGGTATTTTACTATATTTAATAAACTTGCAACTTCCTGATTATTGTACCAACTAATACTTTATTATTATTGTTATTATTTTGAACAGGGTCTCATTCTATCCCTGAGGCTGGAGTTCAGTGGCAGGATCACACCTCATTACAGCCTCAACCTTCTGGGCTCAAGTGATTCTCCCACTTCCGCATTTCTAGCAGCTGGGACTGCAGGGGTACAACACCTTGCCTGGCTAATTTTGGTATTTCCTGTAGGGCTAGGATTTCACCATGTTACCCAGGCTGGTCTCAAACTCCTGGGCTGAAGTGATCTGTCTGTGTCGGCCTCCAAAAGTGCTGGGATTACAGTCATGTGCCACAGGGCCCGGTTTGTAATATTACTAATATATTAAATTAGCACGATGTTTTAAAAAATGTAAATTAAACTGAGAACAGAAGTGACATAGCCCTGACATAAAACAGTGAAGCAGTGCTATTATTCTTACAATACAAGCCAAATTGTTTTGATTTTCCTGCATAATGGGTGTAGATTAACAAACATTCACCAAATCATGAGCCCCGTAAAAAGTATCAAAAGCTCTGCTCTGCTCAGTGAAGATAGCACATCCTGGAAAGCATTTGTGAGTGTTGATTGAAGTTTATGGTAGTCTGCATTCACTATAACCTGTCTGTCTTTGGTAGAGGCCAGATAGGTTAAGTGAATCGGGTTATAGAAAGGACTACCATCCCCTGTAACTTTCAAGTGTTTTGTCATGACAGTGACCAGTTCCATTCCTTGGGGAATGCAGTTATTATATTTTATACATTGTGTTGCCAATGGAGGAGAATTTCAGAGGCTTCCCCTTGGTCCTGCTATAATAATGTTCCTTACTCTACAGTTCAGGAAGAATGTGATAGTTCTGCCAGCTGCCATACGTATCCATTTCAATTACACATTCAGGAAGAGGTAATAACTACAAACTGGTTAGATCCACCTTGGGATAGACATGAGCCGAAGCTCTGGGCAGCATCTGACCTTCAAGAACTCCCACTGCAGGCTGGATGTGATGGCGCATGCCTGTAGTCCTAGTACTTTGGGAGGCCAAGGTGGGAGGATCTTTTGAGAGCAGGAGTTCCCTTCGCAACATATGGAAACTCTGTCTCTACAAAAAATTTAAAAAATTAGCTGGCGGGGTGGTGCATGCCTATAGTTCCAAATACTTGGGAAGCTGAGGCAGGAGGATTGCTTGAGCCCAGGAGTTCCAGGCTGCAGTGGGCTATGATCCTGCCACTGTACTCCAGCTTGGGTAACAAACGGAGACTGTCTCGGAGGAAGAAAAAAAAAAGAAGTGCAAGTTCTCACTGGTATCTTAAATATCAAGTAAAAAGGGATCAAATCAATAATTAACAATCTTTGGTTCCTGCCTATAGCAAACAGGTAAAATGGAAAGTAGTTATACAAAGGGTATATTATATTAACTCCTAACAAAATTAAACAAAGCCAGTTTTTTTTCATCTCCTTTCATTTTTTTTTTTTTTGAAACAGGGTGTTGCTCTGTCTCCCCGTTGGAGTGCAGTGGTGTGATCTCGACCAATTACAACCTCCGTCTCCTGGGTTCAAATGATTCTCCTGCCGCAGCCAACCAAGTACCTAGGATCATAGGCATGCACAACCACAACTGGCAAATTTTTGTATTTTTAGTGGAGACAGGGTTTCACCATGTTGGCCATGCTGTTTTCTAACTCCTGACCTCAGGTGATCCACCTGCCTCGGCCTCCCAAAGTGCTGGAATTACAGGCCTGAGCCACCGTGCCCAGCCTATTATCTGCTTTTTATAGGTAATTATACTGAGGCAGGCAGTAGTTGTAAAATGGAGTCTCACATCATATCTGTATGAAACAGGGAATCTGGTTTCCTGTCTTTGTAGTCTGACTCGAAGATCCCCTCTTAGAAACCATTATAGTGTAAAAACTGAAAAGATATAAAATCCAAGATTGGAGACTGATTTTAATATCTATTCATCTTAAACCATTTAGTAATCAAAAATAAATAGGGAAAAATAAAGCTGGATATTCATACATAGAGAAGTGTAGATTCTTCAATGGAAAACATGTTTTTTAAGTGTCCAAGGAATAGTTATAAAATTTCTGAGTATTTTAATTAAATAACTAAGATTTAAGTGTTAGACTCATGAGAATAACTTAGTCAAAGGCCTAAGCATGAGAGATTAAGTTTGATAAACATTGAAAATGGGCTGAAAAGCCTGAGTAAGAAAATTAATTACTTTTTCATTTTAGAAATTATAGGACAACAATTTTTCCCAACCGTCAGGGGTGTATATATGTGCATGTGAAAGTGCTTATGTTAATGAGCTTGTTAATAATAAGTTATACAAAATTATTAGTTGGCAGCAACCAGATTTTAAGGAATATTGGCCTTCTTGGGCTTCCGAAGAAAACCTTGGACGCTTTTGGTAGGAAAAGTTGGGATTCACTCTCCATAAATCCGGCGTTGAAAAAATGAATCAACAGGGGTCATGATTCTAGTTTTGACCAAGCTACATATAACAGTGTAGGCATCTGATGTATGATCTATGTATTAGGTTGGAAAATTTCCCTTACAACTGACATTGCTGAATACAAATTATATAGAGGTTAAACAAGGAAAAAAATTACAAAATGATGAATAAGAATATGACTTAATTTGCATGCTAGCAAATGAGAATTCAGCTTTCACATCAACATCAGTATGAAAATTTTTATCTTATAACAAGGACATAGTATTTGAATAGGAGTTAATTTGAGCTGTTTTGGAAATTATCATGTTTTCCATTAAGATAGCCTTGAACTCATTCAATAGCATGCTCCGGTGGTTTCCTGCTTGGCATTAGTCAGAGAACTTAAAAGGAACAGGAACATTACTGCACAACCAGAAATCAGGTGCACATAGAAATTAAGGTCAGGACCTTAAAGGGAATCTTGCCCATTGATATTAGTCCTGCCCTAAAAAAAAGTCGGACATGGTATGTTTACTACTAATCATTTTTTTTCCATAACGTTAATGGTAGTTTGTATTTTCCCATGGGCACCTACATTACACTTATAGACTATTTTGATATTTCAACCTATTATTTTCTTTGAATCCTTTTAAGGAGTTGTTAAACAATGCTGAAATTTGCCTTACAGTATGCTGTTAACTAATCATATTTCTCAAAGTCATTTGACATAATGTTTGGTTAAAGGAAATATGTCTAGCATAGTTATACCCGTTCATAACAAAAGAGTATTTAAATCTTTAAGAAAAAATATTAGAAAAGCTAATAATATGAATAAATAAATATATGAAGTATATAATTCATTATTAATATACTTGCATGAAATCATGGTCATAGAATTTAAAAAGAGTAATAATTTTTGAATTAAGGATACATTCTGAACTATAATAGAAAAAGGCTTCAAAAATGTTAGGTTTATAATGTTTCATATAGATACGAAAGTGTAAAAATTAGTCTGATGTTACTTATTTTGGAAAGCATATGAAGCAATGGGAATTTTCATACATTGCTCCTAGAATTGTAAATCAGAGCAATTACTTTGTCTGACTATGGCATTATCTGATTAAGTTGATGGATCACATTTGAACACCCAGTATTTGCACTGTTATCAGAATATATGTGCACACACATGCATATCACTGAGTTTTAATAGCTAAAGTTGAGAAGTCTCTCAAATATCCATCAGTGATAAAATGGATAAGTAAATTATGGCATACTTGTACAATAGAATACTATACAGCAATCAAAATGAACTGTTGGAGACATGTGCTCGGAGTAGCCAAAAGAAATCCCCACTTGGACAATTTCTCAGCAAGGCACCTTTACGTTGGCAGAAGGGTGCTGCTTGCACCTGTTACAATCCCAAGAGAAGAGCATACCTAACAAAGGAGGGAAGGAGTTTTTAATCCTAACACAGTTCCTGTTTCTGTGTCCTTCCCTTATTGGCTGGGGTTGGATTGCACAATCTAAGCTGATCCTGAATGGCTTAGACTTAAACTTTTCCAAATAGGGTAAACGCACATTTTGCAAAAAGAAAGAGGGGTGGGAGGTAGGATTCATTTACAACATTTACAACTTATGGCTGGAAAGTTGAGTCTTTAAAGAGGAATTTAGTTGTCCTAACGGAACCAGCTAGAGTGACATGTTTACAAAGAATATAAATAAAAAGAAAAATGAAGAAATTTGAACTACATAGATATGAGAGGAATTAAGTTTGAAAAAATGATTCAGTATAATTCCATTTATATAAAGTTTACAAAAATGTATTTTTAATAAATTGAAATTTATTACACTGGTGGTGAAATTCTAAGGTGAGACATATGAGTGATTATCCTAACAATTGGGATGGTAGGGATGGAGGAAACAAAAGGGAAATGTTATCAGTAAGATGGCATATATGGAGAGTGTCTGGATTGCTGGTGAAATCTACTTTATGACCATGATGTGGAATCATGACTCTTAATGCTATAATTTTTTTCTTTACTGTACATTAGGCCTCATTACTTTATATACTTTATATATATATGTTATGTTTCACAATATTAAATATTTCACAATAATGAAAATATTTAAAAAGTAGAAACATACACTAAATGAATGAATATAAAATAGGCTGAACAAACATATTCTTATAGACATCATTGTAATTAGAGTTTTTGCTGAATAAAGAATAGAGCATTATGATAGTAATAAATCCAAGATAAAATTTTAAACTTTTTTTTAAATTAATTAGAAAAAGGAAGAGATAAGCAGGAAGACTACCTCCACATTCCTAATGTTATTCTTACTTTGAAACATCAGATTTTGAGCACTTATATTTTACTGGACACATTTTTTTCTTATTTCCAATTTAATTATTTATGATAACATTTCAAAGTGGCAGAAATTAGTGAATTTCCAATAAATTATAGTAGTATAGATATTAAATGTATAGGACAATTTTTCTAAGTTTATCTTTAAATGAAATAATTATACACATATTTTTACCATTCAAAGATTATAATACCATGCATGTGTACACATGTGTAAGGAAAAATATTTTGATACTGCAAATTTTTTTAATATTAGAGAAAAATTAGTAGAAAGATAATTTTATTAAGGCATAAAACATATTTAGAGTAGTTACTTTGACTGCTATAATAAAAACACCCAGATTTTCTGACAGTAGCTGAGAATGTAAATAAGCAGTCAAGAGAATTTAACTTGGTAATGATGCTATTAAAAGATGAAATGAAGCTTATTCAATCTATAATTGCACAGAGTATTTGTGTAAGTTCATATGAAACTGGACCAAAACTAAACAGCCAAAAAAAGAGTATTATTTGCTTTAGGTCACTTTTGCCATAATTTTTAGAATGTGGTGAAAGAAAAAAAATAGCAAGTAAATCATTGGAAATGTGTTGGCTTTGCGTTATTCCTGATGAAATACTATATGAGGGTATTTGTCTAGGCCTGATTCTGAGAATAATATAAGAATGGTGCCAAGCACAGTGGCTCATTCCTGTAATCCCAGCACTCTAGGAGGCCAAGGCAGTGGATTCCCTGAGGTCAGGAGTTCCAGACCAGCCTGGCCAACATAGTGAAACCCTGTCTCTACTAAAAATACAAAAATTGACGGGTGGGGTGGTGGGCACCTGTAATCATAGGTACTTGGGAGGCTGAGGCAGGAGAATTGATTGAATCAGGGAGGCAGAGGTTTCTGCAAGCCGAGATTGTGCCATTGCACTCCAGCCTGGGTGACAAGGGAGAAACTTCATCTGAGAAAAAAAAAAAATTGTAAATCCATGAGGAAGAATAAGAGTGTTCTCCCATCACCCTTAACTCCAGTACTTTGAAAAGAAGACCCAAATCACAGTTATTTGGTAACATTCTCCCTTTTAGTTGACATCATCATCATTATTATCATCATCTATATTTACATCTGTTTTATGAAATGATTTATTTTTGAAATATTTACATACATAATTTCGTAACATCTATGTAATTTCTAAGAGATATCATTGTGGGAAAGTTACATTAGTAAACAGCAAAGTTCAAGTAACAATAAATACATTTAGATTTAGAAAGTTAAGTGTAGTGTAGTTTAACATACATTGCTTAAGAAAACAATTGTAGATGACATTAAACTAAACCAAGAAACACTATAAAAAAGATTTTGATTTTAGTATAAATAAAATTCCTTAATAAGAAAAATAAACCATTTCATGATCAAGCTCTGATTTACAAAGAGAGGATTTTAGGGCTGAATAAATCAAAGAGAAGTAAGCCTTCCCCCACATCTTCTCTATTTCATTTAGGTAATGATGGGGTTCAGAGGCACAGAGCCCCATTTCTACAACATAAGCAAAGTGAAAATTAATTCATTGAATACAGCAATGTAGCTGTGGTAGATGAACTATATTTTATCTATTGCCATGATATTTTGAGATCCAGTGCTGCTCATTGAGTTCCCCTGTGGGCAGAGTTTGTGGTGAGGACCCAGCAACAGACAAGCTAATATCCAAAAACATCTACTCACATCAACTTAATTTCCAGTTTCTTTCAAATTGAAGGTAAGTTCCAAGACAAACTTTTTATTCTATTCTCTGACCAAGTGTTGGGAAAAGAAAACTGTTACCATTTTCATTTCTAGCATACTAAAACAAAAAACATAAAAACCCCAAAATCTAAAACACTTTTAAAAATAACATGGTGTTAAGAGTAGTTTGTTCAGTTTCCCTATAGAAAATGATTTATGGAAGGAGAATAAAAGTTTATTCTGAACACTAAAACAATAAGACCAAAAAAATGAATTATCAATATTGAGAATCCAATAGACAGAATTAGCCTGTTAGATGCAGTAGAAGAGAGAATTAGTGAATTGGAAGATAGCTAAACAGAATGAAGCATAGAGAGAAACAGATGGAAATATACCAAGCTAGAGGGTATCACATTGATGCTACAGTCAGAACACCTAACATACTTCTGGAGTTCTGTAAGATTAGAGGAGAGAAAATCAAGCAAGAGAAATGTTGCAAGGATTTTTCCAAAAGTGATAAAATGTATTCCTCCATATATTTTTAGTAATCTCAAACTTCAAGCATGATAAATTAAACCAAATTAACATAAAATAATACAGGACACCAAAGACCAATAGAAAATCTGAAAAGTAGCGAGAGGTGGAAGATAGAGTATGTCGTGTGTTGAAAAGAACTGCATTCTAAATACAACCTGATTTTAACAGAAAACATGGAAGAAGGAACTCAATGGAAACATGTCTTCAGTGCATTTCCAAAGAGTAGTAGAACTTCATAAACAGAAATTGAAAATATTTTTCAGAGAAAATAAAAATGACTGAAAATGCAAAGTTGAACATGCAAGGAGCAATAAAAATTATTGACAATGAAAAATAAGTGTAATTCTAAATAAATGTTGACTGTATAAAAATTATTGTCTTGTTAGATTAAATTTATAATTGATAAGATATATGCAAATGGCAATAAAGAGACTGGAGATAAAGGTGACAGGAATAAATTTAGTTAGACTATGTTTTGGGCTTTTCTATGTCTGTGCAGATAATTTGAACATCATAATCAAGGACCCTGTAATTCTACACCCAGGTATATATATGCAAAAGAATTGTAGTAAATGATGTAGGTCATTGAAGCATTATTCATAATAGCTAAAAAATAAGCTGCCCAAATATATATCAAATAAAGATGGATAAATAATCACAGTAAAATCATAAAATGGAAAAATATGGAGAAATGAAATGAAAAGAAATAAATCACATGTACATGCAACTATGGGATTAAATTTCTGATACAGAATGTTGATTTCAGGAAGCCATGAATAAGAACATATAGAATTGCACCTATACACAGTTCAAAGAAGGCCAAACCAAGCTATTGAGTTTAGGGTCGCATACCTAGTTGGTAAAGTATAAAGAAAATTTTAAAAAGATCAACATAAATTATGGATGTTGCTTATCACAGGAGATGTGAAGAAACGTGTAGCAGATTGGAAAGTGGCATTGAGGTAAACCTAGGCTCTTAGCAATTTTCCATGTCTTGCCCTACATGATGATTACATGAGTATTTATGACACATTGCTATGTTTCCCAGTTTTGTTTTGGCTCATTTCTAAGTGTGCAGTCTAGTTACAATACAAAAATTGTTAATGAGGAGAAATGTTCCATGAAATTATTATTACTCTGCTCATTATATACTGAAGGGAAAAATCCACTATTTGTATACATTCATGTATAACTCTAAGAGGTTTTAAGTAGAAATGTTCTGATTTTAGTTGTAACTTTTGGAAATTTGACATGATGTTACCTGCCAACCCCACGTTTTTCAATAGGTTTTTCTTCTAGGTTTAATTATCTACTTCATATGACAAAACTTTGACATTCTCCATCTATTTTTCCCTTGGATCCAGAATTCCTAACACAACAAGTGTGGTCATGTTACCCACACTCTTAGTTTAGCAGAATACCTATATCAGTTATGTTTTTCTGCAAGAGAAAATCCTCCAAAACTGCTTTAGATATTTGTGTCTCATAAGTCTTTGGATTTCGTTTTTCTAAGCTTGGTTTGGCAGATGGCTCTGGTGATTGGAGATGGGCCACATACTGCATCTTGCAGCTAGTTTGGCTGATTTAGGCTGGATCAGGTAGTGGCATTCTGACTCCATTAGTTTCTCATTCTTCTTCTGGGAACAGTGTACTAGCCAGATGATGTCCTCATGGTAAAAGGAAAAGAGCAGGAAACTCCAACATGGAAGCTGTCTTAAATATCTGTGTAAAGTCTACTAACTTCCTGTTGACTGAAGCAAATTAGAGGAGTGAATTCAGAGTCCAAGTTCAAGGTAGTCACCCTGCCTGTGGTGGGAGGATACTGCAGGATTATATGACAAAATGTAGGGTACTTAGAAACATTTACAAAATTGCTGAATATTTTAATTAAAATTTAAACAAAAAACAGACTTGAATGTAAATTTACCAAAGACCTAAGCATAAGAAACATGTTTGATAAACATTATTCATTGTCTGACAACGCTGAATAGGAAAATAGTACTAATTCTACCTGGATGACCTCCTGGAAACTCGTTTTCCATTTGGTGAGTAATAAGAAAATAATTCCTTCCGTCCCCTAATGGTGTGAGTGCATGTGTGTCTATGTGTTTAGGAGCTTATTAACAATAATGTCATATAAATGTATTGGTTATCAGAAACCAGATTTTCAGGTGTATTGGCCTCACAGGACTTTCCAAGATAACCTTGGATGATTTTGACAAAAGGTTTAGAATCTGGTATTTAAATCTGGCATAAAAATAAATCCATATTGATATGATCCTATTTATGACCAAGCTTCTTTAACAATTTAGACATTTACTGTATGATATATGTATTGGGTTTTAAAATTTCCCTATGTAACAACTGAAGATGCTGGATACAAATTATGGAGAGGTTAAACAAGGAAAAAAATTGCAAAACAATGAAAAAGAATATGGCTTTATTTGCATACTAACACACGAGAATTCACTTTTGACTTCAACATCAGTATAAAACATTTCAGCATATAGCAAGGACAGATAGTCTATAAAGAGGAATGAGTTTCAGCTGTTTTGAGATTAATAATATTTTCCCTAAAGACAGCTTTGAATTCATCCATTGGCATATGCTGGTGCTTTCCTGTTGACATTAGAGAACTTAAAGGCAGAAAATGTTACTGCACATTTAGAAATCAAGTGTTTATCGAAGTTAATGTCTGGATATTAAGGGAATCACAACCAGTGTTATTAAGCCTGCATTTTTTTTTTTTGTTGTTCAAACATATGTGTTCTGCTCATCATTTTATCAATTCTGGTAGTGTTTGCATTTGTTCTTGGAAATGTTGCCAATGGCTTCATAGCTCTAGTTAATGTCAATGACTGGGTTAAGACACAAAAGATCTCCTCAACTGACCAAATTGTCACTGCTCTGGCATTCTCCAGAATTGGTTTACTTTGATCATATTATTACATTGGTATGCAACTGTGTTTAATTCAGCTTTATATAGTTTAGAAGTAAGAATTGTTCCTTCTAATGTCTCGGCAATAATCAATCATTTCAGCATTTGGCTTGCTACGAGCCTCAGCATATTTTATTTGTTCAAGATTGCCAATTTCTCCAATTTTATTTTTCTCCACCTAAAGAAGAGAATTAAGAGTGTTCTTCTTGTGATACTGTTGGGGTCCTTGGTATTTTTGATTTGTAATCTTGCTGTGGTAACCATGGATGACAGTGTGTGGACAAAAGAATTTGAAGGAAATGTGACTTGGAAGATCGAATTGAGGAATGCAATACACCTTTCAAACATGACTATAACCAACCATGCTAGCAAACTTCACACTGTTCATTCTGACTCTAATATCTTTTCTGCTGTTAGTCTGTTCTCCGTGTAAACATCTCAAGATGATGCAGCTCCATGGCAAAGGATCTCAAGATCTCAGCACCAAGGTCCATATAAAACCTTTGCAAACTGTTATCTCCTTCCTTATGTTATTTGCCATTTACTTTCTGTGTATAATCACATCAACTTGGAATCCTAGGACACAGCAGAGCAATCTTGTATTCCTGCTTTACCAAACTCTTGCAATCATGTATCCTTCATTCCACTCATTCATCCTGATTATGAGAAGTAGGAAGCTAAAACAGACCTCTCTTTCAGTTTTGTGTCAGGTGACGTGCTGGGTGAAATAACAGAAACCCTCAACTCCATAGATTCACAAGGGGAGCATGGTGTGTCTTTTAGCAGAAAAGAAACTGATGGTGTCTAGAACGTTTTATATTTCTGTCAGTTTGTTGTAGTGTATGTATTTGAGTAATTTCAAAACAGATTCCTAGGATAGTCTTTTATATATATATAATATATATAAAATTCATATATATATAAAATACGTATGGGTGTATATGTGTGCATGTGTGTGAATAATAACATTGACCATAAATTATGAAGCCTAGTATATTTCATATATATAAGTATGTGTATTTTATGATAGCTAATTGTATGATATTTCATTTGAAGAATTTATCTCTCTTTGTAATTAAGAAATTACAGCATTTATCAGAAAATCATTGCTGTTTTCCATTGTAATTTGTACCACATACATGTACTTAACTATCATTGTTTGAACCTCTCATTTTCTGGATGGTAAAGACATTCAATTCTAAATCAATGATGAGACTGTATCTTTGTAGTAGGTTTTATTTCATTATGAATTGTTACTTTACTTTTAGTATAAAGCAAATAGAATTTTTGTTAGATAATGATGTACACAATAAAATTAGTGTACATATTAAATAAAATCAGTGACAAACATGTAGAGTATATGTATTTGCCTTTGGGAAGGCAAATTTTGTATATGTATAACAAAACTGTACTAAAGAATACTAGATTTAATACCAATATGTGAATAGCTTAGAAAAAAATCATTTCTATAATAGGAATGAAGAAACAAAACCATGATCATTTCAGTGCTATTATAATTTTTTAAGTGTAGTTAGAAAAATCATTTCTTCCACCTTTTGAGTTAAAGAAAATCTTTTTTGAAGTTGACATCTGATGTCAAGTATTTCCATTTATTTTGCTTAGCAACCTCTGAGCCTCTGAATTTCCAATATTCTTCTTTGTCTCCCATTCCTAATATTCCTCAAAAAAACTCAAATATTCCCTTTCTTTAAAAAAAAAAGCCCAACATAAAGAGGGTGTAGAAACTATAGATGATAATCGAATGAAACTTTCTTCAAATGTTAAAAATTGCCTGTGAAATCTATATATTGATGATAGGAAATATATTAATGACTTTATTATAATGATGTAAATGGTGAAATGATAGAAAGTGTGCTGATGTATCCATTGATACCAAGTTCTATTATAAGAAGGTAATCTACAGCCTTGTGGAACAGCTAAATTCTGTGTGACTATATTCATTCTTGGTGTTATGAAATTTTAACATTGTTATCTCAACCTTAAAATAAATCAACTCCTCATATTATATATATATAATATATATATACACACATACATTTTGTTTATCATACATCTTCCCTAGTACTATGTAATCAGCATAAAAAGAGAGGTAATAGCTGTCTTGCTTTCTCTTGACTCACAGGATCTAAAAGCCAGCACAAAGAATAGTTGGTCAAAAGAATATATTAATGAACACATAAGTGATTGGATAAATGGATAATTTGATGTGGTAAACCAATGAAAATGAAACTCATCACAAAATCTGCAGTTGCTTGAATTTTCTAGTTTCAGGTTGAGGTTATAGGCTTATCAAAGAAGAAGCATTTCTCAGAGCAAAAGTTTGACTGTTCCAAAATTCTAGGGGAAATATCACTGTAATATAGCTTTGCTGTAGCTATATCAGGTGTGTGAAGTAGAGACAAGGTGGAACGTCAAAATTAGATGGCACTTATTCTAATGCTTTTTGAAAAGCATATAAAAGATTTTGGTATATTTGCACAGGGTCAGGGTCAGCAGTGAGTGCCAGCTGCTCGGGGCTAGCTGACCCCATGACAAGAATGTTAGGGAACTTCCCAGTAGCTGCTAAACACACTTTTGTTTTTAGGGAATGTCTCTTTCTCCTTCAATATGACTTATGCTGCCTTCAATGCTTTGCTGATACAAAAGAACTGAACTCAAAAGAAGTAAAAATAAAAGCTAGCAAACTTTGCAACTGGTTAAGCTGGTTGTAAACGTACCTAATCACTTTCTACTGTGAATGATATATTTGTATTGTGATATTTTTTAGCTGGTTATTAGATACACAAAAAAGGTATTTCATTTTTAAAAATTGAGTTAGTAACCACTCACCTTACTTACACATTATTTGTATATTATTTTGTTTAGTATCCTTTCTAAATGAATGTTTTAATTGCCACGTTATAAACGCATGGAAAAGTGATTCAAATGAATGTATATCTTAGCTTTGGGTGTCTAGAACTAGAGCCAATGTCTGATTTTACAGTGATGACATTTATTTGGGAAGGCAAGTCCAGGGCAGCAATGAGGGATACATGTGGAAACTGAGGCAAAGGAAGATGTAAAATCATGTGTCATGATGTTGATATGACTTTGCCAGTTGTCGCTTCACAATGAGGTGAGACAGACAGCATGGTGGTCATCAGATACATGCACTTGGCTCCCCATACTTTTCCAGAAGGGTTACAAGGGGAAGCCACAACAAATATTAGTCCATGGAGGAGAGAAAAGGGAGAATGTATCCTAGCTGTCTTCTGTCTTCTATTTTCCTTTGGCCAAAGATTGTTTGAGGCAGAACTACCATCTTTGCTTTTCTTCCTTACATTATCCAACCCCTTGGTGGCTGTTTGGGAAAGTCACACTAACCAATACCCCCATTTTTCTAAGAGATAGTTTTTGTTTGTTTGTTTGCTTGTTTTCTTTTCTCTTCTCCTCTCCCCTTTCCCTATGTTTCCTGCTTTCTACTTAACTTTTTAGACATGCACATAGAACTGTTTACTTTCCCCTCACCAGACAGTCCCTTCGGGCAAGTTCATCTAACTGTGTGCTCCAAGAAGGATCTCTCCTTGAGACTTGACAGTTGATTTGCAGACAAAAGTATGCCCTCATGGAACTGTCACCTCCAGGGGTTAGCTTAGACCTCACATCCATTAGGAGGGGATGTGGAGAGGATGCCCAGGTGGCCACTTCTACAATGGCTGTCCTGCTCATTTCCTTCCCAACTTTAAAAAAAAATCCACTTTCTGCTCCAAAGGTGAAGTGTCACATTAGAAGGCAGGATGCTTTGTGCTCCTTCCCGCAAGCTAACTTCCAAATACATTCTCTATTTTTATATCAGACTTTTTTATTACTTTTTATTATTTTTTATATTAGACTTTACATGAAGTGAGCCGTTAACCTTTTTTGTTACAAGACTTCATGCCCACAGGTATATTCAAGTCCCAGATGGAAAGATGATCTGGATCAGGCAAGATGCTGACCAGGGGAACAGGAGACACAGTCAAGGGAATCTGAGGAAGTACATGTTTTTGCCCAATACAGTCCCCACCTTGTGCCACTCAGATGTCCTCATGCCCTCCAACTGTGGCTGGTTTTATAAGCACATGACTAGTGTAGTTGCACGCGGTCTTGTGCTTGTGGGGCTTTTTGCTTGGATTAATGTTCTGCACTTGCATTTTTATTTTTCAGACAGCGGATACTCCTCCGCTGAAGAGGGAATAGTTCTGCAGTAATTCCCTAGGGGTTTGCTTTCTCCTCTCCTACGGGCTTGATGGAGACAGGCACAGAGTCCTATAATGCCCACGATGCATGCCTCTAGCAGCTTTGAATTCTGCTGGATCATCTGACGCAATGGGCAGAGCAGGTTTGGCCACAGCCTATATCTGCTGTAGAGATATTATATGTTCTGGATTCCACTTGAAACCCGGAGTCTTTGCATTCATTCTGCAACCCATCTAGTTTTGGCAGAGGCTAGGTAGGTTAACTGAACAGGGATTTAAAAAGGACTTTATTAACACGTTGGAGCAATATCCTCTATTGTGGTATTTGTGGACTCCGAAACCCCAAGAGGCTCAATAAACACTGTGCTTCCTTTTTAGTGATAAGAAGTATATATAGGGCAACATGCCATTTACCTTAAAAAGGATGTTTCTGCTGGGCGTGGTGGTTCAAGCCTGTAATCCCAGCACTTTGGGAGGCCAAGGTGGGCAGATCACTTGAGACCATGAGTTTGAGACCAGCCTGGATAACATGGTGAAACCCTGTCTCTACTTAAAAAAAAAAAAAAATGCCAGGCATGGTGGCACATGCCTGTAAACACTGCTACTCAGGAGGCTGAAAGATTTGAACTGATTGAACCCAGGAGACAAAGCTTGCAGTAAGCCGAGATTGCACTAGTGCGCTCCAACCTGAGCAACAGAATGAGACTCTGTCTCAAAAATAAATAAATAAATAAATGAATAAATAAACAGATTTTTTGACATGTGGACTAGGAGTATGGGACCCCTAAAAACAATATCTGTGTTGCAGGTCTCTAAATATTACCAGGTGTATCTCTTTCTGCTGGTATTTTATTTCTATTTAATGTTCAAGTAT
Source organism: Homo sapiens (assembly GCF_000001405.40). Classification (NCBI taxonomy): domain Eukaryota; kingdom Metazoa; phylum Chordata; class Mammalia; order Primates; family Hominidae; genus Homo; species Homo sapiens. Next base: position 309,699 of record NW_003571050.1, on the reverse strand, counting down.
TTTACTATATTTAGGAAACTTTCCATTTCCTGGTTATTGCACCAATTACTGTAACATTATTAATAAATTAACATGATGTTTTGCAAAATGTAAATTAAACTGAGAGCAGAAGTGACATCGCCTGACATAAAACACTGAAGCAGCGTTTTTGTTCTTACCACACAAAGGTCAATTGTTTTAATCTCCTGACCCACCCATGGGTGTAAAATAAGAAACATTCACTAAATCAAGAGCCACATGCAAAGTGCCAGAAGCTCTGCTCTGCTCAGGGAAGATACCTTATCCTAGAGAGCATTTGTAAGTAGTGATTTAAATTTATGGAACTCTGCCCTCATTTTATAATGCATCTGATTTTGGTAGAGACCAGTTAGGTTAAGTGGAGAGGGATGTAAAAAGACTACCATCCCCTGTAACTTTCAAGTGTTTTGTCATGGTAGTGATCAATTCCATTCCTTGGAGAATGTGATTATTATTTTTCAATCCTTGTTGCCAGTGGAGGAGAATTTCGCAGGCTTCGCCTTGGTCCTGCTCTAATAGTGTCCCTTACTCTACAGGTCAGGAAGAAAGTGAGAGTCCTGCCAGCTGCCATGTATGTCCATTTCAATTACACATTCAGGAAGAGGTAATAACAGCAAACTGATCAGATTCACTTTGGGATGGACATGAGTCAAAACTCTAGGTAGCATCTAACCTTCAAAAACTCCCAGTGCAGGCTGGGTATGACGGCTCATGCTTGCAGTCTTCACACTTTGGTAGGCACAGTTGGGAATATCTATTGAGGCCAGGAGTTCCAGACCACCCTGGGCTTCATGGTGAGAGCCTGTCTGTACAAAAACTAAAAAAAGAAAAAACAACAACAAAAAATTAGTTTGGCATGGTGGTGCTCACCTGTAGTCCCAGTTATCCAGGAGGCTGAGGCAGGATACTCCCTTGAACCTAAAAACAATATGTGAGTCAGTTGCTGGCCACATCCAGAGTACTGTTAACAAGAGTGATGCCTGGTAGAAAAGTAATGAATTTATTCCAAACCTAGCTTGGGGAAGGGGCACAAAGAGTCCTGCCTTTAAGTGTACCACTTCACCTTTGGAGCAGAAAGCAGACACTTTTATAAGATAAGGGGGGTTATTGAGCAAGGGTAGAGGGTCCTTCTGCAAGCTTGGTGCCTTTTCTACCATGCGGGGGTCTGTCCTGCAGATCCTGACTCAATGACAGAGGAGTAATATACACTGACACATATATTTTGCTTGTCAGTCCAGCTGAGCATCCTGGCCACTTACAGACTCTAAGGAAGAGTGCTGTCAGCTGCCGCCCCAACTTGCTGGCCTTCTTGGCATTTATTTAGAACACATTAAATGACAAACGCTTTGAGTCAACACCATTAGAGGGTAATCAACCTGGTCACCTTCCCCCAGGAGAGCAATCCTGCCTGTGAGTGATGAAAGGTTAGCTTTAGGACTACCTGAGTAAACAAGCTCTTTAGATAAACTACTATACATTCCTTTGTATCTGTGCCCCAAGTGCCCAGGCTCCAGCAAAGAGACTGGCTGCCTTCAGCCAAACTATCTGAAGCTATGCAAAAACTTTTGGTCTTCCAAGAAGGTTTTTGTTTTGTTTTATACTTTTCCCTACCATTCTGACTGAACCCCTACACTACCAGATAGTTGAATTGGTGCCTTCCTTTGCAGAAATACGTTATAAAAGTGGCCAAGTGGGTATGTTTTCCATATGCCCTCCTGTTGGATGAAAGCCCTTGGGTAATTCCTAGAGTGGAGAAGAGTCTGGAATTTCCAGGTCCACTTTCTGGAGGTAAAAATTCTGTGGCGGGTGTGCTTTGGTCTGCAAATTGACTGTCAGTTCTCAGGAGAATCTGTCTTGGAGCAGTAAGTTAGAAAATGTGCCCTGTAGGGAATGTCTAGTGAGTGGGAGTGAAAGGTTATATTTGCATTTATGAAGGGCTAAGCAGGATACAGGGAACAAAGAGAAAGGGGAGAGAAGAGAAGAGAAAATAATAATTAAAAAAACAGTAAATCATTCTCTTTTTCTTAGAAAAAAATGGGGCAATCTGTTACAAACCCAGGAGTTCAAGGCTGTAGTGAGTAATGATCATGCCACTGTACTAGATACAGCCTGGGTGACAGATTGAGGCTGTGTCTCTAAAAAAAACCTAAGGCAAATAACACAAAAAACAAAAGAACATTAAAAAGAAAATCTCCCATTCCATCTCATGGAACACGTTGTCTTTGGGGTACCTAGATATTAGTGTTAGTTCAGGCTCTGCTGGGGTGGCCAATATCTGGTTTACTGGTGGCAATTTCATACGAGTCTGCAGCAACGTCAAGTCTTGCCTCCCCAGAGGAAGGAATTCAACTGAGGGGCATACGTAAGAAGAGACTGAAGGAAGTTTCTGAGCAGGAATGGAAGTTTATTAAAAAGAGAGCAGGAAAGAAAGGAAGAGACTTTATTGGAAGTCTCTTGGAAGACACTTGGAAGAGACCACAGTGGGCACTTTGGAGATCAAGTGCAGTGTCACACCTTTGACTTGTGGTTTTATATGTTGGTATACTTCTGGGGTCTTGTGTTCCTTTTCCCACGATTCTTCTCTTAGGGTCTTGTGTTCCTTTTTCCATGATTCAGCCCCTTAGGGTGGGCTGCTCACATGCATGGTAGCTTGCTAACACTTTAGAGGTGAGCATGCGCAGTGTGTTTACTGGAATTGTACACATGCTTGCCTGAGGCATTCTTCCCTTTTTTGGTGGAATGCCCACAGAAGGTCATATTCCACCATTTTCTCTCTTAACACGCATGCCTCAGCCTACTCACCCTATTCCTGAGCTGCTGACTACCAATTTTAAGCGTTTTTATTTATTGTGAAATGCCTCTCCCTGGCACCTATGACCAATTATTATTTTTAGAGAGGCAGGGTGTCAACTGCCAGGCCATCAGCTGATGGCCACTTGACATTCCTTGTGGGTGGTGGGAGCCTTCTTCTGCCCTACTCATGCCTGACTAACTACGTACTGTAAGAGCCCTATACCTAAAAGTCTCAGATGATATGGATGTGTGTCCTTCCCTCTGAGTACTATTATCTGGGAAATGGCTACAGGTCTTTGAGAAAGCATCATATGAATACATTCTGAATATTCTGTGGTGAATTTTCTGCATCTTTTATCAAGGGGACTTAAGCTTCCCTTCAGTTATTGAATTCTTGTTCTCTGAATTGGCTCAGTCCTGACAACTGGTTGAGGTTCTTGGATTTTCCACTTCTAAGGCTGACCTCAGGAATCAGCTTTTCAGCTCCATTTTGCTCTTGGTTTATAAGTATTTATCAAAGTATGAAGCCTCTTCAACTATTGGCTTATGAACTCATTCCAATGAAGCTGCTACTGTCATCGTTTCATTGATTCTGACATTTGCAAGATCACCAGAGTCTGTTGCTGAGGTTAGTCTTCATGTTGCATGCTCTATTAGCCACATTGAACATAGTTTATTTGCATTTCAGGATGCTGTCCTCTCCTGATTTTATCTTTGTTCACTGGGCAGCACTTCTCAGTCTCCTTTGCTAGTTCTTTTTTGTCTCTAAACTGAAAATACCAATTTTCAACAGGGTCTCAATTCTTCAATCTCTACAATGATGCCTGTTGTGTTGGTGATCTCATGTATTCTCCTTACTGACAATGTAGTCAAATCAGTCAACAGACAGGCATAAGGGTGATTATCCATTTATATTGTTTATTTATTCACATATCTTGGTATATAGCACATTATGTAAATATTTTTCCTTCAAATGTCAAATTTACATTTAGAAGTAATAGTACGATGGTGGGTGCTCTGGCTTAAGCCCGTAATTGAGCAGCTTGGGAGGTTTAGGCAGGCAGATTTCTTCAGCGCAATTAGTGGAGACCAACCTGGGAAGAACGGCGAAGCCCAGTCTCTAGTAAAAATACAACAATTAGCCAGGTGTGGTGGCATCCATCTGTAGTCCTAGCTACTTGGGAGGCTAATGTGGGAGGATAGCTTGAGGCTGGAACTGTAGACAGCAGTGAGCCAATCTCAAACCACTGCACTCCATTTGGGGCTACAGAGTGAGAACGTGTCTCAAAAAATGAAAAATAGAAAGAAGTAATAATACCAAAAATCTAAGGAGAAAGATGGAGTATCAATAATATTTTTGCTTGAATTTCCACTAAATCAGAGTGACGGTGACCCACCATCTAATTTAGTTTTATTTAAAATAGCATTATAGATATTGATAGATTACTATGCAGGGGATTATTATTATTATAGAAATAATGATCTAAGTAGAGAAATATACAGATGGAATTATGGTTGATTAACCCACTTATATTACTTGCAGTTGTACAGGTAGTATGTTTTAGTATCTTAGTTACTAATCTCACCTTTTACATATAGCTCTATAATCAAATATGAGTTATTTTTTGTGTATGGTATGAAATAAGAATATAAATTTATCTTTATGCATGTCCTCCAAATGTCTTTCAGACCTCCAAATGGATAAACAAATTGTGGCATACTTATACAATGGAATACTATACAGTGATCAAAATTAATGAACTAGACAGACATGTTTACAACAGAATAATACAACAAAGAAAATGAACAAATTTGAGCTACATAGATAATCTCACAAATGTGAGAGGAATTATCAAGATGGAAAAATACATTCAGTATAATCTCATTTACATAAAGTTCAAGAAAAATATTTTTAATATATTGTAATTTGTTACATTGGTGATAAAACTCTACAGTGAAACATATGAGTGATCATCATAACAATTGGGATAATCAGGAGGGAGGAGATAAACGGGAAATATCAGCAAGAAGACATATATTGGGAGTGTCTGGATTACTGGCAAATTCTATTTTCTGACCAAGGTGTGGTAACATCGATGTTAATGTTATAATTTTTTCTCTTACTGTTTATTAGGTTTTATTATGCTCCATATGTAAGTTATGCTCCCCAATAAAAAAAAAAAAGTTAAAAAAGCAGAAACATAAAATACATTCCTACATATAAAATTAGGGTGATACAGCATATTCTTATAGATACCATTGTTATTAGAGTATTTGCTGAATAAAGGAGAATAGAGCATTATGGTACTAAGAAATCCAAGTTAAAATTTAAAATTTTTCTTATTGTTTTGAGACATGGTCTCTCTCTGTTGCCCAGGCTGGAGTGCACAAGCAGAATCTTGGCTCAGTGCAACCTCTGCTATCCAGGCTCAAGTAATTCTCCCATCTCAGCTTCCAGAGTAGCTAGGACAACAGGAGTGCACCACCACGCCCTGCTAATTTTTTCTATTTCTGGTAGAGACAGGGTTTTGGCATGTTTCCCAGGCTGGACTTGAACTCCTGTGCTCAGGCAATCCAACTGCCTCAGCCTTCCAAAATGCTGGGATTACAGATGTGAGCCACTAGACCTGTCCTGAAAATTTTCTTAAATTATTATTTTTTGAAAAAGAAGATATAAGCAAGAACTGTAAATCCACCTTCTTAATGCTAATATGAATTTGAAACATCAAAACTTGAATATTTATGACGGCTAGACACCTTTTTTCTCTTTCCAATTTAATTATTTTTAATACAGATTTCAAAGTGTCACAAAGTCATGAATTTCCAATAAATTATACTACGATGGAGGTTAAATATATAGACCTATTATCCCAAAATGTGTCTCTAAATGAAATATTTGTATTCATATTGTTAGCATTCTAATTTCACAATACTAATCATGTGTACACCTGTGTGTTGGGTAAAATATTTTGTTAATATAAATTTTTTGGTTCTGCATTAGAGAAAAAAATCATAGAAAGGCAAATTTAAGATATAAAACTTATTTAGCATGATCTTTGAGTATGTTTGTGCATATATAATGCTACTTTGACTTCTATAGTAAAATCCAGATTTAGTCACCATAGCTAAGAATGTGAAAAAGCCTTGCAAGAATTTGGCTTGCTAATGATGCTATTAAAAGATGAAATAAAGTTGATAGACTGTATTATTGCAGAGAGTATTTTTCTATATTCATATTGAAAAATGCCCAAAAAGCCCCAAAATAGAATCCTAATTGTCGGATGTCACTTTTGCTATGAATTTTTAAAATGTAGTAAAAGAAAAAAAAAGCAAAGAAATTCTTGAAAATATGTTGGTTTTACATTATTCTTGATAAACTACCACATGAGGATACTTCTCTAGGCCTGATGCTGAGAATCATAGAAGAAACATGAGACCATGAGGAAGAATAGTAGGGTTCTCTCATTACCCTGAACTCCAGTACTTAAAAAACAAGATGGAAATCACATTTATCAAATAGCATTCTCCCTTTTACCTGCCATAATTATTATCATCATCATCTATATATACATCTCATTAAATGATTTATTTTTGAAATATTTAAATACATAGCATTAGGAGATATACCTAATGCTAAATGACGAGTTAATGGGTGCAGCACACCAGCATGGCACATGTATACATATGTAACTAACCGGCACATTGTGCACATGTAACCCTAAAACTTAAAGTATAATAATAACAAAGAAATAAAAAATAAAAAAAATAAAAAAACACACAAAAAAAGAAAAGTTAATTTAAAAAATACGTAATTTGGAAAATAAGTAATTTTAAAAAGACCGTCATTGTGGGAAAATTACAGGAGTAAACAGCAAAGCTTAGTCATGCTCAATACATGTAGATTTAGAAATTAGGTATAGCTTATTTTACAATATATTGCTTAAGCAAATAATTATTTATGGATGAGCTTAAACTAATCCTTGTTTCATTATGATCAGTATAGAAACAATTTAGATTTTAGTGTAACTAAAACTACCCAATAAGAAGGATAAAGCAAATAATACATTTTATGAGCTAGCTTTTATTTCTAAGAGAGGATTTTAGGACCAAATAGTCAAACAGAGTTAAGACCTCAGATCTTCTGAAACACTTGTGTGAGTGATGGTGGAGTTTGAAAGTTATAGTTCTATAAACAAAACTATACTATGGATAGGGATTAAATGGTGGAATTCTTTAGAAACACCAGATTCAGTTTTGTTTCCATGAGACTTAAAAGTTCTTCAATCTTTCATAAACTTGTAAGTACTGTTTTACTCTTTGATCTTTTGAAGATTGTTATAAATGAAGAAGTCTTGATTTCTGCTAATAAAAACAGAGTAAAATTTAAATCATGGAATAGAAAGGTGGAGCTGTAGTTGGGATACTCTATTTTATTAATTGTAATGACAGTTTGAGATCCAGTGCTGCTCACTGAATTTCCCTTTGAGGAGAGTTTGTGGTGATGACCCAGCAACAGACAAGTTACTATTCAAAAGAAGCTACTCACATCAAATCAATTTCCAGTTTCTTCCCAGTGGCAGGAGAATGCCTAGACCATAATTTTGATCTCTTCTGTGACCTAAGTATTACAAAAAGAAGAAAATCACTAAAATTTTCATGTCAGGTGTACTAAAAATTTATAAAAACTATTTTTTAAGAACTTGGTGTTATAAATACTTTGTTTAGTTTCTCCATTAAAAATGATTTATAGCAAGAGAATAAAAGTTCATTTCTACCCTTAAAACAATAAGATAAAAAAGAGTAATGAATATTGAAAATCCAATAGACAGAGTTAAGAACCAGTTAAACATAAGAAAGAATTAGTGAATTGTAAGATAACTACCCAGAATGAAGCACAAAGAGACCAAGAGATAGAAAATATAAGGCTAGAGGGTCAGAGTATGTATGTATGTGTGTATGTTTGTGAATGTGTTCGTATGAATGAGCTTGTAAACAATAAGTTATACAAAAGTATTAGTAGCCACCAGGATTTAAGGATTATTCGCCTTTCTGAGGTTCCCAAGAAAACCTTAAATACTTTTGGTAGGAAAAGACGGGATTCATTCTACATATTACTGGCGTTGAAAATATAGATCTACTTTGGTGATGATCCTAGTTATGCCCAAGCTCCCTCTACCAGGTAATACAACCAATGTGTCATCTATGTATTGGGTTGTAAAATGGCTGAACACAAATTATGGAGAGTTTAAACAAGAAAAAAAATTGCAGAACATTTAAAAAACTCTTCATTGGCATGCTAGTAGATGAGAATTCAGCTTTTACTTCAACAACGATGTGAAAAATTTTATCTTACAGCAAGGACATTGTGTTTGAACAAGAGTTAATTTGTGCTGTTTTGGAAATTATCATATTTTCCATAAAGAGAGCATTGATTTCATCCATTGGCATATTGAGATGCTTTCCTGTTTGACATTGGTCACAGAATTTAAAAGGAAAAACAACATTACTGCACATTCAGGAATCAGAAATAGAAGTAAAGGTCAGGATCTTAAAGGGAATCTTGACAGGATATCAGGCCTGCCTTTAAAAAAATTCAGACATGATAAGTTTACTACCAATCATTTTTTCAATAACAACAATAATATATTTATATTTTCCCATGGACACCTACCATAAACTTGTAGACTATTTTTATATTTCAATATTTTTTTCTTTGAGTCCTTTTAAGAGTTGTTCAACAATCCTGAAATGTCCCTTACAGTATGCTGTTAACAAATTTTATTTTTTCAAAGTCATTTGACATAATGATTGATTAAAGGAAGTATTTCCAGTATAAGTACACTTGCTTATAACAAAAGAGTATTTGAAATTGACATTACTTATTTTGGAAAGGATACAACACAATGGGAATTTTCATACACTACTCCTAGAATTATAAATCTGTGACATCATTTCGGCTGAGTATGGCATTATCTGATTAAGATGAAGGATCACATCCTAAGTCCCAGTAATGTAATGTAAGTCCCAGTAAATGTAATCCAGCATATAAACAGAGCCAAAGACAAAAACCACATGATTATCTCAATAGATGCAGAAAAAGCCTTTGACAAAATTCAACAACCCTTCATGCTAAAAACTCTCAATAAATTGGTATTGATGGGACGTATTTCAAAATAATAAGAGCTATCTATGACAAACCCACAGCCAATATCATACTGAATGGGCAAAAACTGGAAGCATTCCCTTTGAAAACTGGCACAAGACAGGGATGTCCTCTCTCACCGCTCCTATTCAACATAGTGTTGGAAGTTCTGGCCAGGGCAATCAGGCAGGAGAAGGAAATAAAGGGTATTCAATTAGGAAAAGAGGAAGTCAAATTGTCCCTGTTTGCAGACGACATGATTGTTTATCTAGAAAACCCCATCGTCTCAGCCCAAAATCTCCTTAAGCTGATAAGCAACTTCAGCAAAGTCTCAGGATACAAAATCAATGTACAAAAATCACAAGCATTCTTATACACCAACAACAGACAAACAGAGAGCCAAATCATGGGTGAACTCCCATTCACAATTGCTTCAAAGAGAATAAAATACCTAGGAATCCAACTTACAAGGGATGTGAAGGACCTCTTCAAGGAGAACTACAAACCACTGCTCAAGGAAATAAAAGAGGACACAAACAAATGGAAGAACATTCCATGCTCATGGGTAGGAAGAATCAATATCGTGAAAATGGCCATACTGCCCAAGGTAATTTACAGATTCAATGCCATCCCCATCAAGCTACCAATGACTTTCTTCACAGAATTGGAAAAAACTACTTTAAAGTTCATATGGAACCAAAAAAGAGACCGCATTGCCAAGTCAATCCTAAGCCAAAAGAACAAAGCTGGAGGCATCACACTACCTGACTTCAAACTATACTACAAGGCTACAGTAACCAAAACAGCATGGTACTGGTACCAAAACAGAGATATAGATCAATGGAACAGAACAGAGTCCTCAGAAATAATGCCGCATATCTACAACTATCTGATCTTTGACAAACCTGAGAAAAACAAGCAATGGGGAAAGGATTCCCTATTTAATAAATGGTGCTGGGAAAACTGGCTAGCCATATGTAGAAAGCTGAAACTGGATCCCTTCCTTACACCTTATACAAAAATCAATTCAAGATGGATTAAAGATTTAAACGTTAGACCTAAAACCATAAAAACCCTAGAAGAAAACCTAGGCATTACCATTCAGGACATAGGCGTGGGCAAGGACTTCATGTCCAAAACACCAAAAGCAATGGCAACAAAAGCCAAAATTGACAAATGGGATCTAATTAAACTCAAGAGCTTCTGCACAGCAAAAGAAACTACCATCAGAGTGAACAGGCAACCTACAGAATGGGAGAAAATTTTCGCAACCTACTCATCTGACAAAGGGCTAATATCCAGAATCTACAATGAACTCAAACAAATTTACAAGAAAAAAAACAAACAACCCCATCAAAAAGTGGGCGAAGGACATGAACAGACACTTCTCAAAAGAAGACATTTATGCAGCCAAAAAACACATGAAGAAATGCTCATCATCACTGGCCATCAGAGAAATGCAAATCAAAACCACTATGAGATATCATCTCACACCAGTTAGAATGGCAATCATTAAAAAGTCAGGAAACAACAGGTACTGGAGAGGATGTGGAGAAATAGGAACACTTTTACACTGTTGGTGGGACTGTAAACTAGTTCAACCATTGTGGAAGTCAGTGTGGCGATTCCTCAGGGATCTAGAACTAGAAATACCATTTGACCCAGCCATCCCATTACTGGGTATATACCCAAAGGACTATAAATCATGCTGCTATAAAGACACATGCACACGTATGTTTATTGCGGCACTATTCACAATAGCAAAGACTTGGAACCAACCCAAATGTCCAACAATGGTAGACTGGATTAAGAAAATGTGGCACATATACACCATGGAATACTATGCAGCCATAAAAAATGATGAGTTCATATCCTTTGTAGGGACATGGATGAAATTGGAAACCATCATTCTCAGTAAACTATTGCAAGAACAAAAAACCAAACACCGCATATTCTCACTCATAGGTGGGAATTGAACAATGAGATCACATGGACACAGGAAGGGGAATATCACACTCTGGGGACTGTGGTGGGGTCGGGGGAGGGGGGAGGGATAGCATTGGGAGATATACCTAATGCTAGATGACACATTAGTGGGTGCAGCGCACCAGCATGGCACATGTATACATATGTAACTAACCTGCACAATGTGCACATGTACCCTAAAACTTAGAGTATAATAAAAAAAAAAAAAAGAAAAAGAAATCGAGGCTCAAAAACCAGAATGACTTGCCTCAAGATCGTACAGACAGCAAATGACTGAATGAAGCTTTGAAATTAAGTCTATGTGATTAGATGCGGCTAATAAACAAAGCTGATATTTAATAAAAAAAAAAAAAGTCCCAGTACTTATACGCTTATCAGAATACATATACATTCACATGCATATCACTGAGTTTCAATAGCTAAAGTTGAGAAGTCCTCCAAATGTCTATCAGTCCTCCAAATGAATAAACAAATTGTGGCATACTTATACAATGGAATACTATACAGCAATCAAAATTAACAAACAAGACTGACATGTTTACAGCAGAATAATACAACAAAGAAAATGAACAAATGCAAGCTACATAGATAATAATACAGATGTGAGAGGAATTATCAAGAGGAAAAATACATTTAGTATAATCTCATTTACATAAAGTTTGAAAAACATTTTTAATAATTGTAATTTATTACATTGGTGATAAAACTCTACAGTGAAACATGAGTGATCATGATAACAATTGGGATAGTCAAGAGGGAGGAAAATATCAACAAGAAGACATATTGGGATTGTCTGGATGGCTGGCAAATTCTATATTCTTACCAATGTGTGGTAACATCCATATTAATGTTATAATTTTTTCTCTTTCTCTTTCTTTTGTGCTGTTACTCTCTATATGTATGTTATGCTCCACAATAAAAAATGTTAAAAAAGCAGAAACATAAAATATATTTCTAAGTATAAAATTAGGGTGATACAGCATATTCTTATAGATACCATTTTAATTAGAGTTTTTGCTGAATAAAGGAGAATAGAACATTATGGTACTAAGAAATCCAAATTAAAATTTAAAACTTTTCTTTTTTTATTTTGAGACAGAGTCTCACTCTGTTGCCCAGGTTGGAGTGCAGAAGCAGAATCTTGGCTCAGTGCAGCCTCCGTCACCTGGGCTCAAGTGAGTCTCCCATCTCAGCCTCCTGAATATCTAGGACAACAGGCGTGCACCACCACGCCCTGCTAATTTTTTGTATTTTTTTTTTTAGAGTCATGGTTTTGCCATGTTGCCCAGGCTGGGCTTGAACTCTTGTGCTCAGGCAATCCACCTCCCTCAGCCTTTCAAAATGCTGGGATTATAGGTGTGAGCCACCACACCTGGCCCAAAACTTTTCTTAAATTAATTTAAAAAAGGGAGAGATAAGCAAGAACTGTAAATCCACCTTCTTAATGCTAATATGAATTTGAAACATCAAAATTTGAATATTTATTATTGATAGACACTTTTTATTTCCAATTTGATTATTTATGATACACATTTGAAAGTGTTAGAAATTCATGAATTTCCAATAAATTATACTACAATGGATATTAAATAAAATAAATATATCCAAAAATGTGTCTCTAAATGAAATATTTATATTCATATTTTTAGCATTTTAATTTCACAATACTATTCATGTGTACACCTGTGTGTTGGGTTAAATATTTTGTTACTATAAATTTTTTGGCTCTACATTAGAGAAAAATACCATAGAAAGGCAAATTTTTTAAGGTATAAAACATATTTAGCATGATCTTTGAGTATGTTTGTGCATATATAATTCTACTTTGACTGCTATAGTAAAATAATCCAGATTTAGTCACCATAGCTAAGAATGGGAAAAAGCATTTACAAGAATTTGGCTTGCTAATGATGCTATTAAAATATAAACTAAAGTTGATATACTGTATTATTGCATAGAATATTTGTCCATGTTTGTATTTGAAAATGCCAAAAAAAATCCCAAAATAGAATCCTAATTGTTGGAGGTCGCTTTTCTTATCGAATTTTAAAATGTAGTAAAGAAAAAAAAACAAATAAATCGTTGAAAATATGTTGGTTTTACATTATTCTTGATGAATACCATGTGAGGGTACTTGTCTAGGCCTAATGCTGAGAATCATAGAAGAATCGTGAGGCCATGAGGAAGAATAATAGTGTTCTCTCATCACGCTGAGCTCCAGTACTTAGAAACAAGCCTGAAATCACATTTACCAAATAGCATTCTCCCTTTCACCTGCCATCATCATTCTCTTCATCATCTATATCTTCATCTATCTCATGAAATGATTTGTTTTTGAAATATTTAAATACATAATTTGGAAAATAAGTAATTTTAAAAAGATCATCATTGTGGGAAAGTTACAATAGTAAACAGCAAAGTTCAAGTCAAGCTCCAATACATTTAGATTTAGAAATTAAGTGTAGTTTATTTTACAGTACATTGCTTAAGCAAATAATTATTTATGGATGACCGTCAGTGAATCCTCCTTTCACTATGCTCATGATAGAAACAATTTAATTTTCGTGTAAATAAAATTCCTTAATAAGAAAGATACAGCAAATAACACATTTTTTGAGCACGCTTTTATTTCTAAAGAGCGGATTTTAGGACCAAACTGTCAAACAGAGGTAAGACCCCAGATCTTCTGTCACACTTGAGTGAGTGATGATGGAGTTAGAAGGTTGTAGTTCTATAACCAAAACTATATTCATGGATAGGATTAAATGGTGGAATTCCACAGAAGCACCAGATTCAGTTTTGTTTCCATGGGACTTAAAGTCTACTTATATCAGATGTCCTTCATTTGTTGATAAACTCGTAAGTAATGTTTTACTATTTGATATTTTAATGATTGTTATAAACTAAGAAATTTTGATTTTTGCTAATTAAAACAGCATAGGGCAGGCGCGGTGGCTCACGCCTGTAATCCCAGCACTTTGGGAGGCCTAGGTGGGCGGATCACGAGGTCAGGAGATCCAGACCATACTGGGGAACACGGTGAAACCCCGTCTCTACTAAAAATACGAAAAAATTAGCCGAGCGTGGTGGTGGGTGCCTGTAGTCCCAGCTACTTGGGAGGCTGGGGCAGGAGAATGGCGTGAACCCGGGGGACAGAGCTTGCAGTGAGCCGAGATCGCGCCGCTGCACTCCAGCCTGGGAGACAACGAGACTCCGTCTCAAAAACAACAACAACAACAACAAAAAAAACAAAAACCGCATAAAATTTAAATAATGGAATAGAATGATGGAGCTGTGGTTGAGATTCTATATGTAATTAATGACATTTTGAGATCCAGTGCTGCTCATTGAATTTCCCTGTGAAAAGAGTTTGTGGTGATGACCCAGCAACAGATAAGCTACTATCCAAAAAAAGCTATTGACATGAAATCAATTTCCAGTTTTTTCCGAGTTTCATGAGGCTGCCTAGATCCTGCTTTTACTCTCTTCTTTGACCAAAGTATTACAAAAATAAAAATATCATTACCATTTTCATGTCAGGTATACTAAAAGTTTAAAAAAACTTTTTTTAATAACTTGATTTTAGGAATATTGGTTTAGTTTCTCCGTTAGAAAACGATTTATATAAGGAGAACAAAAAGTTCATTTCTACCTCTAAAACAATAAGACAAAAAAAAGGGTCATCAATTTTGAGAATCCAATAGCGTTAACAACCAGTTAAACATAAGAAAGAATTAGTGAATTGGAAGATAACTACCCAGAATGAAGCATAAAGAGACCAAGAGGTAGAAAATATAAGGCTAGAGGGCCACAGACAGTGAAGCTACAATCAGAACAACTAACATACTTCTGCAGTTCCAGAAGATTAGAAGAGAGCAAATGGGGCAGAAGCAATGTGGAGATTTTTCCAAAAGTGATAAAGTATATCAGTTCATATATTTTTAGAAACTATCAGACTTCAGACACGATAACTAAAACCAAATTAACATAAAATGACAGGACATCAAAGACCAATAGAAAACCTGAAAAGTAACTAGAGGAAAAGATAGATTATGTTAAAGGGAATAACTGTCTAAACGACAAGCTGATTTTCAACAGACAAAAATAAAGCTAGAGTTCAATGGATTCATGTCTTCAGTGTATTTCAAAAGTAGAATAGATCTTGATAAACAGAAATTTAAAATATATCTTTTCAGATAAAAGAAAAATTATTATTATTATTATTTTTGTTGGTAGAGTTGGATTCTCACTCTGTTGTCCACGCTGGAGTTCAGTGGTAGGATCATGGCTTACTGCAGTCTGGAACTCCTGGGCTCAAACCATCCTCCCACCTCAGCCTTGTGAGTAGCTTCACTATGCCTGACTAACTTTTTCATTCATTGTAGAGGCAGTTTTGCTGTGTTGCACAGGCTGGTCTTGAACTCCTGGGTGCTCCTGCCCCAGCCTTACAAAATGTTGGGATTATGGGTGTGAGCTACCCTGCCTGGCCAATAAATGGTCTTATTGAAAATATTAAGTTGAATATGCAAGAAGGAATACAAATTAATGAAAGTGGTAAATATGTGCATAATTCTAAATGAATGTTTAGAAAATAATAATGTCTTGTTGGGGTAATTATACAATTGATAAGACATGCAAATGGCAAAAAATAGAATGGAGGTAAAGGTGACAGGAGTAAGTTTAGTTAAATTATTTTCTGAACTTTTCTATGTCTATGAGGAGATTTTGAACAATGATAATATAATTCTACTCATAGGTATATATGCAAAGGAATTGTATCAAATGATATATGAAAGAATGTTCTAGTAGAATTATTCATAACTGTTCAAAAAAGAAACTGGCCAAATACATATTAAGGTTGGATGAATCATTACAGTAATTCCATGCAATGGAACAATATAGAGAAGTGAAAAAAAATCACATGTGCTTGCAACTATGTGACTAAATTTCAGAAACATAATGTTGAGTTCAGGAAGCCACAAACAAGAGGAACATGTAGGATTGCACCTATACAGCGTTCAAAGTAGGCTAGACCAAGCGATGGAGTTTAGGGTTGCATACCTAGTTGGTAAAGTATGAAGAAAATTGAGGAAATAACCATTATAAATTATGGATATTGCTTATATCAGGAGATGCGAAGAAGGGTTTAGGGACTTGGAAAGTGGAATGGAGGTGGATCTAGCCTGTTTTAGGTGTTCCTTGTCTTGCCCTTCATCATAGTTACTTGAGTGTTTATGATACACTGTGGAATTTCCCAGTTTTGTATTGGTTCATTTCTAAGTGCGCATTATAACTTTAATATACAAATTTGTAATTAGGAGAAATATAGAAATTATTATTACTCATCTCATTATATACCGAAGGGAAATATCAAATATTTGTATACATTCTTACACAATTCTAAGATAGTTGAAATAGGAACTTTCTTATTTAGTTGCAACATAAGAAAATTTGAGATGATGTTATCTGCCACCCCCAGATCTTTCCAAAGGATTTCTTCTAGCCTTAATTATCCATCTCACAGGACAAACCTTTGCCATTCCCCATCTATTTTTTCTTTTGGCTCCTGAATTCCTGACACAACAAGGTTGTACATATTTCCCACACTCTTGGTTTAGCAGAGTTCTTTTATCAGTTATGTTTTTGTGCAGGAGAAAACCCTCCAAACCTACATTAGATATTTATATCTCACATGTCGTTTGACGTCGGGTTTTTTTTTTTTTTTTTTTTTTTTGACAGAGTCTTGCTCTGTCACTCAGGCTGGGGTGCAGTGGCGTGATCTCAGTTTACTGCAACCTCCGCCTCCGGGGTTCACGCCATTCTCCTGCCTCAGCCTCCTGAGTAGCTGGGGCTACAGGCCCACACCACCATGCCCTGCTAATTTTTGTATTTTTAGTAGAGACGGGGTTTCACCATGTTGGCCAGGATGGTCTCCATCTCTTGACCTCATAATCTGCCTTCCTCAGCCTTGCCCGCACTGGACCTGGATTTTATTTTTCTAAGCCAGGTTTGGTGGATGGCTGTCGTGATTTGAGATGGGCCAAATTCTGCATCTTGGAGGACGTTAGAGTTTTGCCAATTTAGTCTGGATCAGGTGGCGGCAATCTGACTTCAATAGTTTCTCATTCTTCTTCTGGGAACAGTGTACTAGCCAGGCGATATTCTCATGGTAAATGGAAAGAGGAAGAATCCCCAGTATGGAAGCCATCTCAAATCTCTATGGAAAGAGGAAGAATCCCCAGTATGGAAGCCATCTCAAATCTCTATGCAAACTGTAGTAATTTTTTGTTTATCAAAATAAGTGAAATGATTGAATTCCAAGTTCAGGGGTAAGGTAGTCAGTCTTCCTGTGATAGGAGGATACTGCAGGATTCTATATCAAAGGGTCTGGTACTCAGGAATTGTTATAAAATTGCTAAATATTTTGTATAATAATAAATATTTAAACATTAGACTTGAGACGAACTTTACCAAGTCCTAAGAATTAGAGATATGTTTGATAAATAAATATTATTCATGGGCTGAAAACCCGGGAAAATAGGACTAATTTCATCTGCACAGCCTCTTGGAAACTCATTTTTTATTTTGGAAATTACAAGAAAATAATTTGTTCCATTCATAAGTG
This sequence comes from Homo sapiens, assembly GCF_000001405.40. Taxonomy (NCBI): domain Eukaryota; kingdom Metazoa; phylum Chordata; class Mammalia; order Primates; family Hominidae; genus Homo; species Homo sapiens. The sequence goes on along the minus strand of NW_003571050.1, from coordinate 292,135 downwards.
GTGTGCACGTGTGTATTTGTGTGCATATTTATGAGTTTGTGAATAATGAAGTTATACGAAAGTATTAGCAGCAACCAGATCTTATGGAGGATTGGCCTGCCTGTGGTTCTCAAGAAAATCTGAGATGCCTTTGATAAAAGCAGTTAGGATTCTGTGTATTTAAATCTGTGATTTAAAAAAGTCCGCATTGGTGATGATCTTAGTTATGACCAAGCTCCCTTTGAGAATTTAGACATTTACTGGATGATATATATATTAAGTTACAAAACTTCCCTAACAACTGAAGTCACTAAAGATAAATGATGGAGAGTTTACACAAGGAAAAATTGCAAACACTGAAAGTGAATATGTCCCTATTTGCATACTAGCAAATGAGGATTCAGGTCTCACGTCAATTTCAGTGTGAATAATTCCAGCCTATAACAAGAACAGACAGTGAATGAATGAGTTAATTTGAGTTGTTTGAAAATAAGAATGTTTTCCATAAAGAGATCATTGAACTCATCAGTTAACATGCCATGGTTATTTCTGGCTTGACACTGGTCACAACAATTAAAAGTAAAAAGAATGTCACAGCACATTCACAAATCAGGTGCATATAGAATTTAAGGTCAGGATATTCAAGCAATCACACCCAGTTTTATTAGATTGAGAGATGAAGCCAGCTATACTTCCTGAATCTTGTGGGGACTTGGAGAACGTTTCTGAAGCTAGCAAGGGGATTGTAAAATGCACCAATCAGCGCACTGTAAAACCACAGCAATCAGCGCTCTGTAGCTAGCAAGAGGATTGTAAAATGCACCAATCGCTCTAAAATGCACCAATCAACAGGATCCTAAAAGTAGCCAGTCGGAGGGAGGATTGATAAAAGGGCACTCTGATAGGACAAAAAAGGAAAATGGGAGGGGACAAATAAGGGAATAAAAGCTCATGGCTTCAGCCAGCCGCGGCAACCTACCTGGGTTGCCTTTCACTCTGTGGAAGCTTTGTCCTTTCTCTCTTCTCAATAAACCTTGCTGTTGCTCACTCTTTGGGTCCACACCATCTTTAAGAGCAGCAACACTCACCGTGAAGGTCAGTGGCTCCCTTTTGAAGTCAGCGAGACCACGAACCCACCTGCAGGAACCAATTCCGGACACAACACCAGCATTTAAAAAAATTTTTTTTGTCTGTTCAGACATGATAACTTTTCTACCCATCATTTTTTCCAGTCTGGTAGTGGTTACATTTGTTATTGGAAATTTTGCTAATGGCTTCATAGCACTGGTAAATTCCATTGAGTCGTTCAAGAGACAAAAGATCTCCTTTGCTGACCAAATTCTCACTGCTCTGGCGGTCTCCAGAGTTGGTTTGCTCTGGGTATTATTATTAAACTGGTATTCAACTGTGTTGAATCCAGCTTTTAATAGTGTAGAAGTAAGAACTACTGCTTATAATATCTGGGCAGTGATCAACCATTTCAGCAACTGGCTTGCTACTACCCTCAGCATATTTTATTTGCTCAAGATTGCCAATTTCTCCAACTTTATTTTTCTTCACTTAAAGAGGAGAGTTAAGAGTGTCATTCTGGTGATGTTGTTGGGGCCTTTGCTATTTTTGGCTTGTCATCTTTTTGTGATAAACATGAATGAGATTGTGCGGACAAAAGAATTTGAAGGAAACATGACTTGGAAGATCAAATTGAAGAGTGCAATGTACTTTTCAAATATGACTGTAACCATGGTAGCAAACTTAGTACCCTTCACTCTGACCCTACTATCTTTTATGCTGTTAATCTGTTCTTTGTGTAAACATCTCAAGAAGATGCAGCTCCGTGGTAAAGGATCTCAAGATCCCAGCACGAAGGTCCACATAAAAGCTTTGCAAACTGTGATCTCCTTCCTCTTGTTATGTGCCATTTACTTTCTGTCCATAATGATATCAGTTTGGAGTTTTGGAAGTCTGGAAAACAAACCTGTCTTCATGTTCTGCAAAGCTATTAGATTCAGCTATCCTTCAATCCACCCATTCATCCTGATTTGGGGAAACAAGAAGCTAAAGCAGACTTTTCTTTCAGTTTTTTGGCAAATGAGGTACTGGGTGAAAGGAGAGAAGACTTCATCTCCATAGATTCACGAGAGGGGCATTGTGTATCTTCTAGCAGGAAACAAACTGGTGGTGTATGAAACATTTTATATTTCTTACTGGTTTTTCTATACTGTATGTGTATGAATAATTTCCAAACGTATACCTAGAAAAGTCTTTGACCCAATGGCAGTCTAGAAAATATATATATATATATATATATATATATATATATATATATATATGTGTGTGTGTGTGTGTGTGTGTATTTGTGTATGAAAACTTAACATTGACAACAACATGCTCTTTTCTGTTTTTTCATACAAACTGCCAAATTATACAAAATATGACAAAAACTTCTTAGAATTTTGAAGCCATGTTTATTTCATTCATGTATTTTTTATTTCATTTGTAGAATTTGCAATGTCTATTTATAATTATTAAGAAGTAAGAGCTTATCCCCGGAAAAATATTGCTCTTTTCTATTGTTATTTGAACCACAGGAATATACCACATTGTGCTTAGAATTCATTGCTTGAACCTCAAATTTATTGGATGGTAAGGTCATTCAATTCTAAATCAATAATGAGGATGTATCCTCGGTGTTTTATTCCATTATGAATTTCTATTTTATGTTTGGTAAAAAGCAATGAGAATTATTGTTAGAAAACAATGCACACAATAGAATTTGAGTGAGAAGCATATGCAGAGTAAATTTAATGTATGTCTACCATAAGCGGTACTGAGGAATATTAGATTTCATATGTGAATAGCTTAGGAAAAAATTCCTTCTCTAATAAAGGGATGAAACATCATGATCATGATCTTGATTGGTATCATCAGTTATGCATATGCAGTTAGAAACGTCATTTCTTCCGCTTTTGAATTAAAGAAAATCTGTTTTTGAAGTTGAGATCTCATGTAAATTATTTTAGTATTCTTTCTAAAGCACTTTTAAGCCCCTGATTTGCTAATTATATCCTTACCTTCCGTTTGTAAAATTCCTTCTAAACTTCAGATAAGAGAACTCAAATCCTCTCTTTTTGAAAAATAAAATCAATGTAAATATAGTATAGAAATTGTGGAAAATATTTCAGTCAAACTTTTTGTAAATGTTAAAATAGTATCTGTGAACCCTATGTATTAATTATGGGATGAGCCGTAACTTTGTAATTTTGTCATCAATGATGAAATGAAAGGGTGTTGACATATTCTTTAATAGGAAGTTCTATTATAAGAAAGAAATGTACAGTCCTGTTCACAGCTAAATTCTATTACGTTCATTAATACTTTAATGAACAAATAAATGGGTGGCTAAAATGGGTAAGCTGATGTGGTAAACCAATGAAAAGGAAACTCATCACAAAATCTGCAGTTGCATGAATTCCCCTGTTCCGGTCTCAGGTTAAGATTACAGGCTTATCCAAGCAGAATCCTTCCTCTAAGGAAAAGTTTGGCTATTCCACAATTTTAGGGGAAATATCACAATAATATAGTCTTGATGCAGCTGTATCAGGTGTCTGAGTTGGAGACAAGGTAGAACATCAAAATTAGATGGCACCTATTACAATAGTTTGAAAAATCATATAAACAACTTTGGTCTATTTGAATTTTTTTTCTATTGTGAATTATATATTTGTATTATGATATTTTCTAGTTGACTATTTAAATAAAATGGCATTTCATTTCAAAAAATTGAGTTAGTAACCAGCTACTTTACCAAAATGTTTTTAATGTAATACCTGTTATTAAAGTGCTAACATTTATTTAGAAGTCAAATTCAAGACAAAAATGGCAAGGACGTGTGGAAATTGAGACAGGAAGAAATGTGAAACAATGTGTGGTGATGTCTGGTATGGCTCTGCTGGCAGCCACTTCACAGTGAGGTGAGAGAGACAGCATGACGGTCATCAGATGCGTGTACTTGGCTTCCAGCACTTTTTCCAGAAGGGCTACAGGGGGAAACCACAGCTGGCATTAGTCCGTGGAAGTGAGAGAGGAGGGAGAATGTATCTGCTCGGCTGTCATTAGTCTTCTATTTCTTATTGGTCAGGGTTTCCTTGAGGCAGAACTATCATCTCTGTTGTTCTGTCTTCCATCATCCAGTCCCTTGGTGGTGGTCATGAAAGTCATACCTTATGCCCACAGTGTGGTGATGCATTCAAGTCCCAAATGGAATGATGACCTGGATCGGGCAAGGTACTAGCCAGGGGAATAGGACATAGTGAAGGGAATCTAAGAAAGCACATGTTTGTGTCCAATACCATCACTCCTTGTGCCACTGAGGCGTGCTCATACCCTCCAGTCATGGCTGGCTTTATGAGCATATGACGTCCACAGTTGCATAGGGTTTTGTGCTTATAGGGACTTGTGTTTAGAGGGACTCTATGCTTGGATTAATGTTCTCCACTTGCTGTTTTGTTTTTCACACAGAGGATACTCCTCTGCTGAAGAGGGAATGTTCTTGCACTAATTCCATAGGGATTTGCTCTCCTGTCTCCTACAGGCTTGTCAGAGACATGCACAGAGTCCTATAATGACCACTATGTATGTTTCTAGCATCTTTGAATCCTGCTGGATCATCTGGCACAGTGGCCAGAGCAGCTTGGAGCAGAGTCCATATCTTCTGTAGAGCCCTCTTTTGTTCTGGATTCTGCTTGAGACCAGTAGCCTGGGAAACTTCATTAATGAGTCAGAGCTATATTCTCAAATGTGGAATATGTTGTCTCCAAAATCCCAATAGGCCCCCAAAATACTGGGTCTCTTTTGTAGTGATAGGAAATTTATAGAGAGAGCAACATGCCATATACTGTAAAAAAGATTGTTTCAACGTGTGGTCTAGGGACACTGAATGCTTTAAAACATCACCTATGCTGTAGGTCCCTGAATCTTCTCAGGTTGATTTCTTTTCTTCTGGTATTTTACTTCCATTCATCGTTAGAGTATTTTACTATAGTTAAGAAACTTGCCACTTCCTGATTATTGTACCAAGTAATATATTATTATTATTATTGCTATTATTTTGAGACAGGGTCTCATTCTGTCCCTGAGGCTGGAGTTCAGTGGCAGGATCACAGCTCATTACAGCCTCAACCTTCTGGGCTCAAGTGATTCCCCCACCTCTGCATTGCTAGCAGCTGGGACTGCAGGGGCACAACATCACGCCTGGCTAATTTTTGTATTTTCTGTAGGGCTAGGATTTCACCGTGTTACCCAGGCTGGTCTCAAACTCCTGGGCTCAAATGATCTTCCCGTGTCGGCCTCCTAAAATGATGGCATTACAGTCATGTGCCACAGGGCCTGGTCTGTAATATTATTAATATATTAAATAATCACGATGTTTTAAAAAATGTAAATTAAACTGAGAACAGAAGTGACATAGCCATGATATAAAACAGTGACAGTGTTATTATTATTATAAAACGAGGCAAATTGTTTTGATTTTTCCTCATAATGGGTGTAGATTAAGAACCATTCACCAAATCACAAGCCCGGTAAAAAGTACCAGAAGCTCTGCTCTGCTTAGTGAAGACAGCACATCCTGGAAAGCATTTGTGAGTGTTTATTTAAGTTCATGGTAGTCTGCATTGATTCTGTAATCCATCTGGTTTTGGTAGAGGCCAGATAGGTTAAGTGAATCAGGTTATAGAAAGGACTACCATCCCCTGTAACTTGCAAGTGTTTTGTCATGGCAGTGACCAGTTCCATTCCTTAGGGAATGCTGTTATTATATTTTGTACATTGTGTTGCCAGTAGAGGAGAATTTCAGAGGCTTCCCTTTGGTCCTGCTATAATAATGTCCCTTACTCCACAGTTCACGAATAATGTGAGTGTCCTGCCAGCTGCCATGCATATCCATTTCAGTTACACTTTCAGGAAGAGGTAATAACTACAAACTGATTAGCTCCACCTTGGGATGGACATGAGCCAAAGCTCTAGGTAGCATCTGACCTTCAGAAACTCTCAATGCAGGCTGGATGTCATGGCTCATGCCTGTAGTCCTACTACTTTGGGAGGCCAAGGTGGGAGGACCCCTTGAGAGCAGGAGTTCCCTTTGCAACATATGGAAACTCCATCTCTACAAAAAATTTAAAAAATTAGCTGGCATGTTGGTGCATGCCTATAGTCCCAAATACTTGGGAAGCTGAGGCAGGAGGATTGCTTGAGCCCAGGAGTTCAAGGCTGCAGTGGGCTATGATTGTGCCACTGTACTCCAGCTTGGGTAACAGAGGGAGACTGTGTCTCAGAAGAAAAAAAAAAAACAAGTTTAAGTTCTCACTGGTATCTTAAATATCAAGTAAAACAGTATCGAATCGATAATGAACAATCTTTGGTTCCTGCCTATAAGAGGTAAACTTGAAAGTAGTAATACAAATAGTATATTAACTCCTAACAAAATTAACCAAAGACAGTTGTATTTTCATCGCCCTTTGTTGGTGGTGGTGGTGTTTTTGAGATGGAGTTTGCACGGTCTCCCCACTGGAGTGGAGTGGCATGATCTCAACTAACTACAACCCCCCACTCCTGGGTTCCAATGATTTTTCTGCCACAGCCACCTGAGTAGCTGGGATTTTATGCATGTGCCACCACACCTGGCTACTTTTTGTATTTTTAGTGGAGACAGGGTTTCACCGTGTTGGCCATGCTGGTTTCAAACTCCTGACCTCAGGTGATGCACCTGCCTCAGCCTCCCAAAGTGCTGGGATTACAGGCCTGAGCCACCGCACCCGGCCTATCGTCTCCTTTTTATAGGTAATTATACTGAGGCAGGCAGTAGTTGTAAAATGGAGTCTCACATCATAGTTATATGAAGCAGGGAATCTGGTTTCCTGTCTTGGCAGTCTGACTTCAAGATCCCCTCTTAGAAACCATTATACTATAAAAACTGAAAAGAAATAAAATCCAAGATTGGAGACTGATTTTAACATCTATTTTAAACCATTTCATAATCAAAAATAAATTAAATAGGGAAAAATAAACCTGAATATTCATACACAGAGAAGTGTAGACTCTTCAATGGAACACGTTTTTTAAGTGTCCGAGGAATAGTTATAAAATTGCTGAATATTTTCATTAAATAACTAAGATTTAAGTATTAGACTCAAGAGAAAAACTTAGTCAAAGGCCTAAGCATGAGACATTAAGCTTGATAAACATTGAAAATGCGCTGAAAAGCCCAAGTAAGAAAATTAATTTTTCATTTTAGAAATTATAGGACAATAATTTACTCAACCATGAGGGGTGTGTGTGTGTGGGGGGGGAATGTGTTTATGTTAATGAGCTTGTTAACAATAAGTTATACAAAACTATTAGTTAACAGCAACCAGATTTTAAGGAATATTGGCCTTCCTGGGCTTCCAAAGAAAACCTTGGATGCTTTTAGTAGGAAAATTTAGGATTCACTTTCCATAAACCTGGCATTGAAAAAATGAATCAACAGTGGTCATGACTCTAGTTTTGACCAAGCTACATATAACAGTGCAGGCATCCAATGTATGATCTATGTATTAGTTTGGAAAATTTCCCTAACAACCGACATTGCTGAACACAAATTATAGACAGGTTAAACAAGGAAAAAATTTCAAAATGATGAATAAGAATATGACTTGATTTGTATGCCTGGAATTGAGAATTCAGGTATCACTTCAACATCAGTATGAAACATTTTATAACAAGGACATAGTATTTGAATATGAGTCAGTTTCAGCTGTTTTGGAAATTATCATATTTTCCGTTAAGTCAGCCCTGAACTCATTCAATAGCATGCCCCGGTGCTTTCCGTTTTGACATTAGTCAGAGAATTTAAAAGGAACCAGAACATTACTGCACAATCAGAAATCAGGTACACATAGAAATTAAGGTCAGGACCTTAAAGGGAATCTTGTCCATTAGGCCTTGATATTAGGCCTGCCTTAAAAAAATTCAGACATGGTATGTTTACTACTAACCATTTTTTTCCATAACAGTAATGGTAGAATTTGTATTTTCCCATGGGCACCTTCATTGTACTTAAAGACTATTTTGATATTTCAACATATTATTTTCTTTGAGTCCTTTTAAGGAGTTGTTAAACAATGCTGAAATTTGCCTTACAGTATGCTGTTAACAAATCATATTTCTCAAAGTCATTTGACATAATGATTGGTTAAAGGAAATATGTCTAGCATAATTATACTTGTTCATAACAAAACAGTATTTAAAACTTGAAGAAAAATATTAGGAAAAGTAATAAAGAATATGAATAAGGGTTGGGTGTCGTGGCTGATAGCTGTAATCCCAGCACTTCGGGAGGCCAAGGTGGGTGGATCACGAGGTCAGGACATCAAGACCATCCTGGCTAACACGGTGAAACCCTGTCTCTACAAAAAATACCAAGAAAAAAAAAATTAGCTGGGTGTGATGGCAGGCCCCTGTAATCCCAAGTATTCAGGAGGCTGATGCAGGAGAATGGCGTGATTCTGGGAGGCAGAGCTTGCAGTGAGCCAAGATCATGCCACTGCACTCCAGCCTGGGCAACAGAGCAAGACTCTGTCTCCAAAAAAGAAAAGAAAAGAAAAAAGAATATGAATAAATAAATAAATAAATAAATGAAATATGTAATTCATTATTAATAAATGTGCATGAAGTCATGGTCATGGAATTTAAAAAGAGTAACAATTTTTGAATTAAGAATACATTCTGAAACATAATAGAAAAAGGCTTATAAAATGTTAGGTTTAATAATGTTTCATATAAATATTAAAGGTAAAAATTATTCTGATGTTACTTATTTTGGAAAGCTTATGAAGTAATGGGAATTTTCATACACTGCTCCTAGAATTGTAAATCAGAGCAGTTAGTTTGTCTGAGTATGGCATTATCTGATTAAGATGATGGATCACATCTGAAGACCCAGTATTTGTATCCTTATCAGAATACATATAGACACACATGCATATCACTGAGTTTTAATAGCTAAGTTGAGAAGTCTATCAAATGTCCATCAGTGATTAAATGGATAAGTAAATTATGGCATACTTGTACAATAGTATACTATACAGCAATCAAAATGAACTGTTGGAAGCAAGTGCTCAGAGTAGACAAAAGAAACCAACACTTCGACAGAAAATTTCTCAGCAAGGCATCTTTACTTTGGCAGAAGGGTGCAGAAGGGTGCTGCTTGTGCCCGTTACAATCCCAAGAGCCCACGGAACAAAGGAGGGAAGGAGTTTTTAATCCTAACACAGTTCCTGTTTCTGTGTCCTTCTCCTGTTGGCTGGGGTTGGACCGTGCTATCTAAACTGATCCTGATTGGCTAAGACTTAAACTTTTCCAAATAGGGTAAATGCAGGATTTGCAAAAAGAAGGAGGGGTGTGAGGTAGGATTGATTTACAACATTTGCAACTGTTGGCCAGAAGGTTGAGTCTTTGAAGGGAACTTAATTGTCCCAGCAGAACCAACTAGAGCAACATGTTTACAAAGAACATAAATAAAAAGGAAAATGAACAAATTTGAACTTCATAGATATGAGAGGAATTATTAGGTTTGAAAAATGATTCAGTATAATTCCACTTATATAAAGTTTACAAAAATATATTTTTAATAAATTGAAATTTATTACACTGGTGGTGAAATTCTAAAGTGAGACATATGAATGATTATCATAACAATTGGGATGGTAGGGATGGAGGAAACAAAAGGGAAATGTTATCAACAAGAAGGCGTATATGGAGAGTGTCTGGATTGCTGGTGAATTCTACTTTATGACCATGATGTGGAATCATGACTCTTAATGCTATAAGTTTTTTCTTTACTGTACATTTAGACCTTATTACTTTATATATATATGTATGTTATGTTTCACAATAATAAAAATATTTAAAAAGTAGAAACATACACTAAATGAATGAATGTAAAATAGGCTGAAAAAACATATTCTTATAGACATCATTGTAATTAGAATTTTTGCTGAATAAAGAAGAATACAGCATTATGATAGTAAGAAATCCAAGAAAAATTTTAAACTTTTCTTTAATTTAAAAAAGGAAGAGGTAAGCAGGAAGTCTACCTCCACTTTCTTAATGTTATTCTTACCTTGAAACATCAGATTTTGAGCATCTGTATTTTGCTAGACACCTTTTTTCTTCTTTCCAATTTAATTATTTATGATAACATTTCAAAGTTGCAGAAAGTAGTGAATTTCCAATAAATTATAGTTATACAGACATTAAATATACATGACAATTTTTCTAAATTTATCCCTAAATAAAATAATTATACACATTTTTTACCATTCAAAGATTTTAATACCATGCATGTGTACACATGTGTGAAAAAATATTTTGATATTACAAATTTTTTGAATATTCAAGAAAAATTCATAGAAAGATAATTTTGTTAAGCCTTAAAACATATGTAGTGTAACTACTTTGACTGCTATAATAAAATCACCCAGATTTTGTGACCATAGCTGAGAATGAAATTAAGCAGTTGAGAGAATTTAACTTGTTAGTGATGCTATTAAAAGATGAAATGAAGCTTATACACTTCATAATTGCACAGAGTATTTGTGTAAGTTCATATGGAAGTGGAACAAAATTAAACAGCCAGAACAAGAGTATTCTTTGCTGGAGGTCACTTTTGGCATAATTTTTAGAATGCAATAGAAGAAAAAAATAGCAAGTAAATCACTGGAAATATGTTGGTTTTATGTTATTCTTGATGAAATGCTAGTTGAGGGTATTTGTCAAGGCCTGATTCTGAGAATAATATCGGAATTATGCTGGGCAAAGTGGCTCATGTCTGTAATCCCAGCACTCTAGGAGGCCAAGGCTGGCCGATCACCTGAGGTCAAGAGTTCCAGACCAGCCTGGCCAACATGATGAAACCCCATCTCTACAAAAAATAAAAAAAAATTGCTGGGTGTGGTTGCAGCCACCTGTAATCTCAGATACTTGGGAGGCTGAGGCAGGAGAATCGATTGAACCAGGGAGGCAGCTGTTGCCGTGAGCCAAGATTGTGCCATTGAACTCCAGACTGGGTGACAAGAGAGAATTTCCATCTCGAAAAAAAAAATTGTGTATCTATGAGGAAGAATAATAGTGTTCTCCCACCAACCTTAACTCTAATGCTTTTAAAAGAAAACCAAAATCACATTTATTAAATAACATTCTACCTTTTAGCTGACATCATCATTATCATCATCTACATTTACATCTGTCTTATTAAATGATTTATTTTTGAAATATTTACATACATAATTTGGTTAATGTCTGCATAATTTCTAAGAGATATCATTGTAGGAAAGTTATATTAGTAAACAGCAAAGTTCAAGTCAGGCTGAATACATTTAGATTTAGAAAGTTAAGTGTAGTGTAGTTTAAAATACAATGCTTAAGGAAACAATTATAAATTATATTAAACTAATCCATGTAACACTATGAAAAGATTTTGATTTTAGTATAAATAAAATTGCTTAATAGGAAAAATAAATAAACCATTTCATGATCAAGCTCTTATTTATAAAGTAAGGATGTTAGGGCTAAATAAATCAAAGAGAAGTAACCCCTCCCCCATATCTTCTCTATTTCACTTAGGTAATGATGAAATTTAAAGGCACAGAGCCCCATTTCTACAACATAAGCAAAATGAAAATTAATTCTTTGAATACAACAACGTAGCTGTGGTTGGTGAAATATATTTTATCTATTGCAATGATATTTTGAGAGGTAGTTCTGGTCATTGAGTTTGCCTGTTAGCAGAGTTTGTGGTGATGACCCAGCAACAGACAAGCTAATATCCAAAAAAAGCTACTCACATCAACTTAATTTCTAGTTTCTTTCAAATTGAAGGTAAATTCCAGAACAAAGCTTTTATTCTATTCTCTCAGCAAACTATTGGGAAATGAAGAAAACCACTACCATTTTCTTTTCTAACATACTAAAACAAAAAGCCAAAAACCCAAAACTCAAAAATGCTTTTAAAAAGAACATGGTGTTAAGAGTAGTTTGTTCAGTTTCTCCCTAGAAAATGATTTATGGAAGGAGAATAAAAGATTATTCTGAACACTAAAAGAATAAGACTGAAAAAAATGAATTATCAATATTGAGAATCCAATAGACAGAGTTAACCAGTTAGATGCAGTAGAAGAGAGAATAAGTGAATTAGAAGATAGCTACACAGAATGAAGCACAGAGAGAAAGAGATGGAAATATACAAAGCTAGAGGGTAACACATTGAGGCTACAGTCACAACACCTAACATACTTCTGGAGTTCTGTAACAGTAGAGGGGAGAAAATAGAGCAACAAAATGTTGCAAGGAGTTTTCCAAAAGTGATAAAATGTATGCCTCCATGTATTTTTTGTAATCTCAAACTTCAGGCATGATGACTTAAATCAAATTAACATAAAATAATACAGGACACAAAAGACCAATAGAAAATCTGAAAAGTAGCTAGAGGTTGAAGATAGAGTATGTTGAAAAGAACTGCATTCTGAATACAACCTGATTTTAACAGAAAATATGGAAGCAGGAATGCAATGGAATCATGGGAATCATGTCTTCAGTGTGTTTCCAAAGAGTAGTAGACCTTCAAAAACAGAAATTGAAAATGATATTTTTCAGATAAAATAAAATTACTGAAAATACAAAGTTGAACATGCAAGGAGCAATAAAAATTAATGACAATGAAAAATAAGTGTGTAATTCTAAATAAATGTTGACTGTATAAAATAGTGTCTTCCTGGATTGAATGTATAATCGATAAGATATATGCAAATAGCAATAAAGAGACTGGAGATAAAGGTGACAGAAATAAATTTAGTCAAACTATGTTTTTGGCTTTTTTATGTCTGTGAGGAGAATGTGAACGTTTATCAAGGACCCTGTAATTTCACACCCAGGTATATATATGCATAAGAATTGTAGCAAATGATATGTGAAAGAATGCTCATTGTAGCATTATTCATAATAGCTCAAAAACAAGCTGCCTAAATATATATCAAATAAGGATGGATAAATAATTACAGTAAAATCATAAAATGAAAAGTTATACAGAAGCGAAAAGAAGTGGATCACATGTACATGCAACTGTGGGGTTAAATTTCATATACATAATATTGATTCCAGGAAGCCATGAATAAGAACATATAGGATTGCACCTATAAACATTTCAAAGTGGGCCAAACCAAGCTATTGAGTTTAGGGTTGCATAGCTTGTTGGTAAAGTAAAAAGAAAATTTAAAAAAAGATGATCATAAATTATGGATGTTGCTTATCACAGGAGATATGAAGAAAGGTATAGGGGAAATGGAAAGTGGCATTGAGGTAAACCTAGGCTTTTAGCAATGTTCCATGTCTTGCCCTACATGAAGGTTACATGAGTGTTTATGACACATTGCTATGTTTTCCATTTTTGTTTTGGCTCATTTCTAAGTGTGCAGTCTAGTTATAATATAAAAATTATTAATCAGGAGAAAGATTCCATGAAAATTATTATTACTCTGCTCATTATATACCGAAGGGAAAAATTCACTATTTTTATACATTTATGTATAACTCTAAGCGATTTTAAGTAGAAACTTTCTGATTTTAGTTGCACCTTTCTGAAACTTGACATGATGTTACCTGCCAATCCCAGATTTTTCAATAGGTTTTTCTTTTAGGTTTAATTATCCACTTCATGTGACAAAACTTTGACATTCTCTGTCTATTTTTCCCTTGAATCCTGAATTCCTGACACAACAAGGGTGGACATGTTTCCCATACTCTTGGTTTAGCAGAGTGCCTTTATCACTTAGGTTTTTCTGCAAGAGAAAATCCTCCAAAACTGCTTTAGATATTTGTGTCTCATATGTCTTTGAATTTCATTTTTCTAAGCTAGATTTGGTGGATGGCTCTGGTGACTGGAGACGGGCCATGTACTGCATCTTGAAGCTAGTTTGGCTGATTTAGTGTAGATAAGGCAGTGGCATTCTGACTCCATTAGTTTCTCATTCTTCTTATGGGAACAGTTATTGGCCAGATGATGTCCTCACGGTAAATGGAAAAGAGCAAGAAACTCCAGTATGGAAGCCGTCTTAAATCTCTGCGTAAAGTCTACTAGTTTGCTGTTCACTGAAGCAAATTACATGAGTGAATTCAGAGTCAATGGTCAAGGTAGTCACCCTGCCTGTGGTGGGAGGGTGCTGCAGGATTATATGAAAAAGTGTAGGGCACTTCGAAATATTTACAAAATTGCTGAATATTTTAATTACATAATTAATATTTAAACAAAAAACAGACTTGAGACTAAATTTATCAATGGCCTAAGCATGAGAAACATGTTTGATAAATATTATTCATTGTCTGACAACCCTGAGTGGAATACGAGTAATTCCACCTGGATGACCTCCTGGAAACTCATTTTCCATTTGGGGAATTATAAGAAAATAATTCCTTCCATCCCCTAAAGGTGTGAGTGCATGTGTGTCTATGTGTTTAGGAGCTTATTAACAATGATGTCATATCAATTTATTGGTTATCAGAAACCAGATTTTCAGGTGTATCGGCCTCCCAGGGCTTTCCAAGATAACCTTGGATGATTCTGATAAAAGGTTTAGAATCTGGTATTTAAATCTGGCATAAAAATAAATCCATATTGGTGTGATCCTAGTTATGACCAAGCTCCTTTAACAATTTAGACATTTACTGTATGATATATGTATTTGGTTTTAAAATTTCCCTAAGAAACAACTGAAGATGCTGGATTCAAATTATGGAGAGGTTAAACAAGGAAAAAAATTGCAAAACAATGACAAAGAATATGGCTTTATTTGCATACTAACACATGAAAATTCACTTTTCACTTCAACATGAGTATAAAAAAATTCAGCATGTAGCAGGGACAGATAGTATATGAAGAGGAGTGAATCTGAGCTGTTTTGAGAATAACAATATTTTCTATTTCTATGAAGACAGCTTTGAACTCATCCATTAGCATAGGCTGGTGCTTTCCTGTTGACATTAGTCACAGAATTTAAAGGCAGAAAATGTTATTGCACATTTAGTAATCAAGTGTTTATCGAAGTTAATGTTTGGATATTAAGGGTATCAGAACCAGTGTTATTAAGACTGCAATTTTTTTCTTTTTGTCTGTTCAAACATGGTATATTTTCTGCTCATCATTTTATCAATTCTGGTAGTGTTTGCATTTGTTCTTGGAAATTTTTCCAATGGCTTCATAGCTCTAGTAAATGTCATTGACTGGGTTAAGACACGAAAGATCTCCTCAGCTGACCAAATCCTCACTGCTCTGGTGGTCTCCAGAATTGGTTTACTCTGGGTCATATTATTACATTGGTATGCAAATGTGTTTAATTCAGCTTTATATAGTTCAGAAGTAGGAGCTGTTGCTTCTAATATCTCAGCAATAATCAACCATTTCAGCATCTGGCTTGCTGCTAGCCTCAGCATATTTTATTTGCTCAAGATTGCCAATTTCTCCAACCTTATTTTTCTCCACCTAAAGAAGAGAATTAGGAGTGTTGTTCTGGTGATACTGTTGGGTCCCTTGGTATTTTTGATTTGTAATCTTGCTGTGATAACCATGGATGACAGTGTGTGGACAAAAGAATATGAAGGAAATGTGACTTGGAAGATCAAATTGAGGAATGCAATACACCTTTCAAACTTGACTGTAAGCACACTAGCAAACCTCATACCCTTCATTCTGACCCTAATATGTTTTCTGCTGTTAATCTGTTCTCTGCATAAACATCTCAAGAAGATGCAGCTCCATGGCAAAGGATCTCAAGATCTCAGCACCAAGGTCCACATAAAAGCTTTGCAAACTGTGATCTCCTTCCTCATGTTATATGCCATTTACTTTCTGTATCTAATCACATTAACCTGGAATCTTTGAACACAGCAGAACAAACTTGTATTCCTGCTTTGCCAAACTCTTGGAATCATGTATCCTTCATTCCACTCATTCTTCCTGATTATGGGAAGCAGGAAACTAAAACAGACGTTTCTTTCAGTTTTATGTCAGGTCACATGCTTAGTGAAAGGACAGCAACCCTCAACTCCATAGATTCACAAGGGGTGCATCGTGTGTCTTCTAGCAGAAAACAAACTGATGATGTCTTGAACATTTTATATTTCTATCAGTTTTTCCATAGTGTATGTATTTGAGTAATTTCAGAATAGATATCTATAAAAGTCTTACATATATATATGGTTGTATATGTGTGCATGTGTATAAATAACAACATTGACCATAAACTATGAAGCTGAGTATATTTCACATATACAATGTATGTATATTTTCTTATAGTTCATTGTATAATATTTCATTTGAAGATTTTATTTTCTCTTTTTAAAATTAGGATCTTACAGCTTTTATCAGGAAATTATTGCTGTTTTCCATTGCAATTTGTATCACATATATGTACTTAACTATCATTGGTGAACCCCTAATTGTTTGGATGGTAAAGAAGTTTAATATTAAATCAATGATGAGAATGTATCTTTGGGGTAGGTTTTATTTCATTAGGAATTCTTATTTTACGTTTGGTAGAAAGCAAATAGAATTGTTAGCTAATGATGCACACAATAAAATTTTAGTGACAAAGATATGTAGAGTAAGTTTTATTTATATATACCAAAAACAGTACTAAAGAATACTAAATTTAATACAAGTATGTGCATAGCCTAGAATAAAAATCATTTCTATAATAGGAATGAAAAAACATGATCATGATCCTTTCAGTGCTGTTATAATTTTTTATGTGTAGTTAGAAAAGTCACTTATTCCACTTTTTGAATTAAAGGAAACCTTTTGTGAAGTTGACATCTGATGTCAAGTATTTCCATTTATTTTCTTAGCCACCTCTGAGCTCCTGAATTTCCAATTTTCTCCTTTGTCTCCCATTCCTAATATTCCTCAAAAAAACTCAAATATTCTCTATCTTAAAAAAAGTCCCAAAGAGAGTATA
Source organism: Homo sapiens (assembly GCF_000001405.40). Taxonomy (NCBI): domain Eukaryota; kingdom Metazoa; phylum Chordata; class Mammalia; order Primates; family Hominidae; genus Homo; species Homo sapiens. The sequence continues at coordinate 275,114 of NW_003571050.1, read as the reverse complement.
GAAACTATAGATGATAATCAAATGAAACTTTCTTCAAATGTTAAATGTTAAACTTTCGTTAAATGTTAAAAATTATCTGTGAAATCTATATATTGATGATAGGAAATGTATTAATGATATGTTTTATTATAATGGTGTAAATGGTGAAATGACACAAAGTGTGTTGATGTATCCATTGATACCAAGTTCTATTATAAGAAGGAAATGTACAGCCTTGCTGAACAGCTAAATTCTGCATGACTGTGTTAATTCTTGGTGTTATGAGATTTTAACATTGTTATGTAAAACTTAAAATAAGTCAACTCCTCATCTGATATATATATATATATTACATCCACATATATATGTATCAGATCCACATCTGATATATATATACACACACATTTTATTTATCATGCATCTTCCCTAGTACAATGTAATCACCATAAAAAGAGAGGTCATATCTGTCTTGCTTTGTCTGGACTCACGGGATCTAAAAGCCAGCACAAAGAATAGTTGGTCAAAAATGATACGTTAATGAACACATTAGTGGTTGGATAAATGGATAATTTGATGTGGTAAACCAGTGAAAACGAAACTCTTGACAAAATCTGCAGTTGCTTGAATTTTCTAGTTTCAGGTTGAGGTTATAGGCTTATCAAAGAAGAAGCATTTCTCAGAGCAAAAGTTTGGCTATTCCCCAATTCTAGGGGAAGTATCACTGTAATATAGCTTTGATGCAGCTATATCAGGTGTGTGAAGTAGAGACAAGGTGGAATGTCAAAATTAGATGGCACTTATTGTAATACTTTTTGAAAAGCATATAAAGGATTCTGGTATATTTGCACAGGGCCAGGTTCAGCTGTGAGTGCCAGCTGCTCGGGGTTAGCAGACCCCATCACAAGAATGTTAGGGAACTTCCCAGCAGCTGCCAAACACACTCTTGTTTTTAGGGAACATCTCTTTCTCCCTCAGTATGACTTATGCTGCCTTCAATGCTTTGCTGATACAAAAGAAGTGAACACAAAAGAAATGAAAAAAAAAAAAAGCTAGCAAACTTTGCAACTGGTTAAGCTGTTTGTAAATGTACCCAATCACTTTCTACTGTGAATGATATATTTGTATTATGATATTTTCTAGCTGGTTACTATATACACAAAGATGGCATTTCGCTTTTAAAAATTGAGTTAGTAACGAGTCACCTTTCTTACACATTATTTATATATATATTTTAGTATCCTTTCTAAATGAATGTTTTAATTGCCATATTATAAATGCATGGAAAAGTGATGCAACTGAATGTATATCTTAGCTTTGGGTGTCTAGAACTAGAGCCAGTGTCTGAGTTTACAGTGATGACATTTATTTGGGAAGGCAAGTCCAGGGTAGCAATGAGGGGTAAATGTGGAAACTGAGGCAAAAGAAGATGTAAAACCATGTATCATGATGTTGACATGACTTTGCCGTTGTCACTTCACAATGAGGTGAGACAGACAGCATGGTGATCATCAGATACATGCACTTGGCTCCCGGTACTTTTCCAGAAGGGTTACAAGGGGAAACCACAGCAAATATTAGTCCATGGAAGAGAGAAAAGGGAGAATGTATCCTAGCTGTCTTTTGTTTTCTATTTACCTTTGGCCAAAGTTATTTTGTGGCAGAACTACCATCTTTGCTTTTCTTCCTTACATTATCCAACCCCTTGGTGGCTGTTTGGGAAAGTCAGACTAACCAATACCCCCATTTTTCTAAGAGATACTTGTTTTGTTTTTTTTTTAATTTTTTGTCTCTTTTCCTCGCCCCTTTCCCTATGTTTCCCACTTTCTACTTAACTTTTTAGAAATGCACAAAACTGTTTACTATCCCCTCACCAGACAGTCCCTTCGGGCAAGTTCATCTAACTATGTGCTCCAAGAGGGATCTCTCCTTGAGACTTGACAGTTGATTTGCAGACAAAAGTATGCCCTCATGGAACTCTCACCTCCAGCGGTTCCCCTTAGACCTCACACCCATTAGGAGGGGATGTGGAGAGGATGCTCAGGTGGCCACTTTTACAACTGCTGTCCTGCTCATTTCCCTCCCTACTTTATAAAAATGTCCACTTTCTGCTCCAAAGGTGAAGTGTCACATTAGAAGGCAGGATGCTTTATGCTCCTTCCCCAAAACTAATCTCCAAATAAGTTCTCTATTTTTGTATCAGACTGTGCTCTTTTTAATTAGACTTTACATGAAGTGAGCAACTAAGCTTTTCTGTTACAAGACTTCATGCCCACAGATACATTCAAGTCCCAGATGGAAAGGTGATCTGGATCAGGCAAGGTGCTGACCATGGGAACAGGAGAGAGTCAAGGGAATCTGAGGAAGCACATGTTTGTGTCCAATATAGTCCCCTCCTTGTGCCACTCAGATGTGCTCATGCCCTCCAACTGTGGCTGGTTTTATAAGCAGATGCCTTGTGTAGTTGCACGCAGTCTTGTGCTTGAGGGGCTTTTTGCTTGGATTAATGTTCTGCACTTGCATTTTTATTTTTCAGACAGCAGATACTCCTCCGCTGAAGAGGGAATAGTTCTGCAGTAATTCCCTAGGGGTTTGCTTTCTCCTCTCCTACGGGCTTGATGGAGACAGGCACAGAGTCCTATAATGCCCACGATGCATGCCTCTAGCAGCTTTGAATTCTGCTGGATCATCTGACTCAATGGGCAGAGCAGGTTGGGCCACAGCCTATACCTGCTGTAGAGATATCTTATGTTCTGGATTCCACTTGAAACCACTAGTCTTTGCATTCATTCTGTAACCCATCTGGTTTTGGCAGAGGCTAGGTAGGTTAACTGAACAGGGATTTAAAAAGGACTTTATTAACAAGTCAGAGCAATATCCTCTATTGTGGTATTTGTGGACTCCAAAACCCCAAGAGAGTCAATAAACACTGTGCTTCTCTTTTAGTGATAAGAAGTATTTATAGGGCAACAGGCCACTTACTTTAAAAAGGATGTTTCTGCTGGGCATGGTGGCTCACCCCTGTAATCCCAGCACTTTGGGAGGCCAAGGTGGGCAGATCACTTGAGGCCATGAGTTTGAGACCAGCCTGGCTAACATGGTGAAACCAGGTCTCTACTTTAAAAAAAAAAAAAATTGCCAGGCATGGTAGCACATGGCTGTAAATACAGCTAGTAAGGAGGCTGAAGGATTTGAACTGATTGAACCCAGGAGGCGAAGTTTGCAGTGAGCCGAGATGGCACCAGTGCACTCTAGCCTGGGCAACAGAGCAAGACTCTGTCTCAAAAATAAATATATAAATAAATAAATGGATTTTTCGACATGTAGACCAGGAATATGAGACCTTAAAAACAATATCTATGTTGCAGGTTTCCAAATATTATCAGGTGTATCTCTTTCTGCTAGTATTTTATTTCTATTTAACGTTCAAGTATTTTACTATATTTAGGGACCTTTCCATTTCCTGGTTATTGCACCAATTACTGTAACATTATTAATAAATTAACATGATGTTTTGCAAAATGTAAATTAAACTGAGAGCAGAAGTGACATCGCCCTGACATAAAACAGTGAAGCAGCACTTTCGTTCTTACCAAACAAAGGCCAACTGTTTTAATCTCCCGACCCACCCGTGGGTGAAAAACAAGAAATATTCACTTAATCGAGAGCCACATGCAAAGTGCCAGAAGCTCTGCTCTGCTCAGGGAAGATACCACATCCTAGAGAGCATTTGTAAGTAGTGATTTAAATTTATGGAACTCTGCCCTCATTTTATAATGTATCTGATTTTGGTAGAGGCCATTTAGGTTAAGTGGAGAGGGATGTAAAAAGACTACCATCCCCTGTAACTTTCAAGTGTTTTGTCATGGTAGTGATCAATTCCATTCCTTGGAGAATGTGATTATTATTTTTCAATCCTTGTTGCCAGTGGAGGAGAATTTCGCAGGCTTCGCCTTGGTCCTGCTCTAATAGTGTCCCTTACTCTGCAGGTCAGGAAGAAGGTGAGAGTCCTGCCAGCTGCCATGTTTGTCCATTTCAATTACATGTTCAGGAAGAGGTAATAACAGCAAACTGATTAGATCCACCTTGGGATGTACATGAGTCAAAAATCTAGGTAGCATCTGACCTTCAAAAACTCCCAGTGCAGGCTTGGTATGATGGCTCTTGCTTGCAATCCCGGAACTTTGGTAGGCACAGTTGGGAATATCTATTGAGGCCAGGAGTTCCAGACCACCCTGGGCTACATGGTGAGAGCTTGTCTCTACAAAAACTAAAAAAAGAAAAAACAACAACAAAAATTAGTTTGGCATGGTGGTGCTCACCTGTAGTCCCAGTTACACAGAAGGATGAGGCAGGATACTCCCTTGAACCTGAAAACAATATGCGAGTCAGTTGCTGGTGGCATCCAGAATCCAGTTAAAAAGAGTGAGGCCTGGTTCAAAAGTAATGAATTTATTTCAAACCTAGCTTGGGGAAGGGGCACAAAGAGTCCTGCCTTTAAGTGTACCACTTCACCTTTGGAGCAGAAAGCAGACACTTTTATAAGGTAAGGGGGGTTATTGAGCAAGGGTAGAGGGTCCTCCTGCAAGCTTGGTGCCTTTTCTACCATGCAGGGGTCTGTCCAGCAGACCCTGACTCAATGACAGAGGAATAACATACACCGACATGTATGTTTTGCTTGTCAGTCCAGCCGAGCATCCGGGCCACTTAACAGACTCTAAGGAAGAGTGCTGTCAGCTGCCGCCCCAACTTGCTGGCCTTCTTGGCATTTATTTAGAACACATTAAATGACAAAAACTTTGAGTCAACACCATTAGAGGGTAATCAACTCTGTCACCTTCCCCCAGGAGAGCAATCCTGCCTGTGAGTGATGAAAGGTTAGCTTTAGGACTACCTGAGTAAACAAGCTCTTTAGATAAACTACTCTACATTCCTTTGTGTCTGTGCCCAAAGTGCTCTGGCTCTGGCAAAGAGACTGGCTGCCTTCAGCCAAACTATCTGAAGTTATGCAAAAACTTTTGGTCTTCCAAGAAGGTCTTTTTTTTATTTTATAATTTTCCCTACCATTCTGACTGAACCCCTGCACTACCAGATAGTTGAATTGGCACCTGCCTTTGCAGAAATACATTATAAAAGTGGCCAAGTAGGTATGCTTTCCATATGCCCTCCTGTTGGATGAAAGTCCTTAGGTAATTCCTAGAGTGGAGCAGAGCCTGGAATTTCCTGGTCCACTTCCTGGAGGTAAAAATTCTGTGGTGGGTGTGTTTGGTCTGCAAATTGACTGTCAGTTCTCAGGAGAGATTGGTCTCGGAGCACATAGTTAGAAAAATGTGCCCTGCAGGGAATGTCTAGTGAGTGGGGGTGAAAGGTTCTATTTGCATTTATGAATGGCTAAGCAGGATACAGGGAACAAAGGGAAAGGGGAGAGAAGAGAAAATAATAATAAAAATCATAATTCATTCTCTTTTTCTTAGAAAAAAATGGGGCAATCTGTTACAAACCCTGGAATTCAAGGCTGTAGTGAGTAATGATCATGCCACTGTACTAGATACAGCCTGGGTGACAGATTGAGACTGTCTCTCTGAAAAAGCCAACGCAAATAACACAGAAAACAAAAGAAAATTAAAAAGAAAATCTCCTACTCCATCTCATGGACCACAGTGTCTTTTGGGTACCTAGATAATTAGTGTTAGTTCAGGCTCTGCTGGGGTGGCCAATATCTGGTTTACTGGTGGCAATTTCATACGAGTCTGCAGCAACGTCAAGTCTTGCCTCCCCAGAGGAAGGAATTCAACTGAGGGGCATAAGTAAGAAGAGACTGAAGGAAGTTTCTGAGCAGGAATGGAAGTTTATTAAAAAGAGAGCAGGAAAGAAAGGAAGAGACTTTATTGGAAGTCTCTTGGAAGACACTTGGAAGAGACCACAGCGGGCACTTTGGAGATCAAGTGCAGTGTTAGATCTTTGACTTGTGGTTTTATATGTTGGTATACTTCTGGGGTCTTGTGTTCCTTTTCCCATGATTCAGCCCCTTAGGGTGGGCTGCTCACATGTGTGGTAGCCTGCTAACACTTTGGAGGTGAGCATGCGCAGTGTGTTTACTGGAGTTGTACACATGCTTGCCTGAGGCATTCTTCCCTTTTTTGGTGGAATGCCCACAGAAGGTCATATTCCACCATTTTCTCTCTTAACACGCATGCCTTAGCCTACTCACCCTATTCCTGAGCTGCTGACTACCAATTTTAAGCGTTTTTATTTATTGTGAAATTGCCTCTCCCTGGCGCCTGTGACCAATTATTATTTTTAGAGAGGCAGGGTGTCAACTGCCAGGGCATCAGCTGATGGCCACCTGACATTCCTTGTGGGTGGTGGGAGCCCTCTTCTGCCCCACTCATGCCTGACTAACTACGTACTGTAAAAGCCCTATACCTAAAAGTCTCAGATGGTATGGATGTGTGTCCTTTCCTCTGGGTACTGTTTATCTAGGAAATGGCTGCAGGTCTTTGAGAAAGCATCATATAAATACATTCTGAATATTCTGTGGTGAATTTTCAGCATCTGTTATCAAGGGGACTTAAGCTTCCCTTCAATTATTGAATTCTTGTTCTTGGAATTGGCTCAGTCCTGACAACTGGTTGAGGTTTCTTGATTTTCCACTTCAAAGGCCGACCTCAGGAATGAGCTTTTCAGCTCCATTTTGCTCTTGGTTTATAAGTATTTATCAAAGTGTGAAGCCTCTTCAACTATTGGCTTATGAACTCATTCCAATGAAGCTACTGCTGTCATCGTTTCATTGATTCTGACGTTTCCAAGATCACCAGAGTCTATGTTGCCAAGGTTAGTCTTCATGTTGCATGCTCTATTAGCCACATTGAACGTAGTTTATTTGCATTTCAGGATGATGCCCTTTCCTGATTTTATCTTTGTTCACTGGGCACCACTCCACTTCTCATTCTCCTTTGCTAGTTGTCTTTTGTCTCTAAACTGAAAACATGAGATTGCCCAAGATCTCAATTCTACAATCTCTGCAATGATGCCTGTTGTGTTGGTGATCTCATGTATTCTCCTTACTGACAATGTAGCCAAATCAGTTAACAGACAAGCGTAAGGGTGATTATCCATTTATATTAATTATTTATTCACACATCTTGGCATATAGCACATTATGTAAATATTTTTCCTTCAAATGTCAAATTTACATTTAGAAGTAACAGTACCAGGTTGGATGCTGTGGCTCAAGCCTGTAATTGAGCACCTTGGGAGGTTTAGGTAGACAGATTTCTTGAGCACAATTATTGGAGACCAACCTAGGAAACATGGTGAAACCCAGTCTCTAGCAAAAATATGACAATTAGCTAGGTGAGGTGGTGTCCACCTGCAGTCCTAGCTACCTGGGAGGCTAAGGTGGGAGGATAGCTTGAGGCTGGGAGCTGTAGAGAGCAGTGGAGAGCAGTGAGCCAATCCGAAACCACTGCACTCCAGTTGGGGCTACAGAGTGAGACCATGTCTCAAAAAATGAAAAATAGAAGTAATAATACCAAAAATCTAAGGGAAAAGATGGAGTATTAATAATATTTTTGCTTGAATTTCCACTAAATCAGAGTGAGGGTGACCCACCATCTAATTTAGTTTTATTTAAAATAGCATTATACATATTGATAGATTACTATGCAGGGGATTATTATTATTATAGAAATAATGATCTAAGTAGAGAAATATACAGATGGAATTATGGTTGATTAACCCACTTATATTACTTGCAGTTGTACAGGTAGTATGTTTTAGTATCTTAGTTACTAATCTCACCTTTTACGTATAGCTCTATAATCAAATATGAGTTATTTTTTGTGTATGGTATGAAATAAGAATATAAATTTATCTTTATGCATGTCCTCCAAATGTCTTTCAGACCTCCAAATGGATAAACAAATTGTGGCATACTTATACAATGGAATACTATACAGTGATCAAAATTAATGAACTAGACAGACATGTTTACAACAGAATAATACAACAAAGAAAATGAACAAATTTGAGCTACATAGATAATAATACTCACAAATGTGAGAGGAATTATCAAGATGGAAAAATACATTCAGTATAATCTCATTTACATAAAGTTCAAGAAAAATATTTTTAATATATTGTAATTTGTTACATTGGTGATAAAACTCTACAGTGAAACATATGAGTGATCATCATAACAATTGGGATAATCAGGAGGGAGGAGATAAACGGGAAATATCAGCAAGAAGACATATATTGGGAGTGTCTGGATTACTGGCAAATTCTATTTTCTGACCAAGGTGTGGTAACATCGATGTTAATGTTATAATTTTTTCTCTTACTGTTTATTAGGTTTTATTATGCTCCATATGTAAGTTATGCTCCCCAATAAAAAAAAAAAGTTAAAAAAGCAGAAACATAAAATACATTCCTACATATAAAATTAGGGTGATACAGCATATTCTTATAGATACCATTGTTATTAGAGTATTTGCTGAATAAAGGAGAATAGAGCATTATGGTACTAAGAAATCCAAGTTAAAATTTAAAATTTTTCTTATTGTTTTGAGACAGGGTCTCTCTCTGTTGCCCAGGCTGGAGTGCACAAGCAGAATCTTGGCTCAGTGCAACCTCTGCTATCCAGGCTCAAGTAATTCTCCCATCTCAGCTTCCAGAGTAGCTAGGACAACAGGCGTGCACCACCACGCCCTGCTAATTTTTTCTGTTTTTGGTAGAGACAGGGTTTTGGCATGTTTCCCAGGCTGGACTTGAACTCCTGTGCTCAGGCAATCCAACTGCCTCAGCCTTCCAAAATGCTGGGATTACAGATGTGAGCCACTAGACCTGCCCTGAAACTTTTCTTAAATTAATATTTTTTTAAAAAGAAGACATAAGCAAGAACTGTAAATCCACCTTCTTAATGCTAATATGAATTTGAAACATCAAAACTTGAATATTTATGACAGCTAAACACCTTTTTTCTTATTTCCAATTTAATTATTTATAATACACATGTCAAAGTGTCACAAAGTCATGAATTTCCAATAAATTATAGTATGATGGAGGTTAAATATATAGACCTATTATCCCAAAATGTGTCTCTAAATGAAATATTTGTATTCATATTGTTAGCATTCTAATTTCACAATACTAATCATGTGTACACCTGTGTGTTGGGTAAAATATTTTGTTAATATAAATTTTTTGATTCTGCATTGGAGAAAAAAATCATAGAAAGGCAAATTTGTTAAGGTATAAAACATATTTAGCATGATCTTTGAGCATGTTTGTGCATATATAATGCTACTTTCACTGCTATAGTAAAATGATCCAGATTTAGTCACCATAGCTAAGAATGTGAAAAAGGCTTGCAAGAATTTGGCTTGCTAATGATGCTATTAAAAGATGAAATGAAGTTGATATACTGTATTATTGCAGAGAGTATTTTTCTATATTCATATTGAAAAATGCCCAAAAAGCCCCAAAATAGAATCCTAATTATTGGATGTCACTTTTGCTATGAATTTTTAAAATGTAGTAAAAGAAAAAGAAGCAAAGAAATTCTTGAAAATATGTTGGTTTTACATTATTCTTGATGAACTACCACATGAGGATACTTCTCTAGGCCTGATGCTGAGAATCATAGAAGAAACATGAGGCCATGAGGAAGAATAGTAGGGTTCTCTCACTACCCTGAACTCCAGTACTTAAAAAACAAGATGGAAATCACATTTATCAAATAGCATTCTCCCTTTTACCTGCCATAATTATTATCATCATCATCTATATATACATCTATCTCATTAAATGATATATTTTTGAAATATTTAAATACATAATTTGGAAAATAAGTAATTTTTAAAAGACCATCATTGTGGGAAAGTTACAGGAGTAAACAGCAAAGCTTAGTCATGCTCAATACATGTAGATTTAGAAATTAAGTATAGCTTATTTTACAATATATTGCTTAAGCAAATAATTATTTATAGATGAGCTTAAACTAATCTTTGTTTCATTATGATCACTATAGAAACAATTTAGATTTTAGTGTAACTAAAACTAACCAGTAAGAAGGACAAAGCAAATGATACATTTTATGAGCTAGCTTTTATTTCTAAGAGAGGATTTTAGGACCAAATAGTCAAACAGAGTTAAGACCTCAGATCTTCTGTCACACTTGTGTGAGTGATGGTGGAGTTCGAAAGTTATAGTTCTATAAACAAAACTATACTCACGGATAGGGATTAAATGGTGGAATTCTTTAGAAACACCAGATTCAGTTTTGTTTCCATGAGACTTAAAGTTCTTCAATCTTTCATAAACTTGTATGTACTGTTTTACTCTTTGATCTTTTAAAGATTGTTATAAATGAAGAAGTCTTGATTTCTGCTAATAAAAACAGAGTAAAATTTAAATCATGGAATAGAAAGGTGGAGCTGTGGTTGAGATATTATATTTTATTAATTGTAATGACATTTTGAGATCCAGTGCTGCTCACTGAATTTCCCTGTGAGGAGAGTTTGTGGTGATGACCCAGCAACAGACAAGCTACTATCCAAAAAAAGCTACTCACATCAAATCAATTTCCAGTTTCTTCCAAGTTGCAGGAGAATGCGTAGACCATAATTTTAATCTCTTCTGTGACCTAAGTATTACAAAAAGAAGAAAATCACTACAATTTTCATGTCAGGTGTGCTAAAAATTTACAAAAACTATTTTTTAAGAAGTTGGTGTTATAAATACTTTGTTTAGTTTCTCCATTAAAAAATGATTTATAGCAAGAGAATAAAAGTTCATTTCTACCCCTAAAACAATAAGATAAAAAAGAGTAATGAATATTGAGAATCCAATAGACAGAGTTGAGAACCAGTTAAACATAAGAAAGAATTAGTGAATTGGAAGATAACTGCCCAGAATGAAGCATAAAGAGACCAAGAGGTAGAAAATATAAGGCTAGAGGGTCAGAGACATTGAAGCTACAATCAGAACAACTAACATACTTCTGCAGTTCCAGAAGATTAGAAGAGAGAAAATGGGCCAGAAGCATTGTGGAGATTTTTCCAAAAGTGGTAAAGTGTATCAGTTCATATATTTTTAGAAACCATCAAACTTCAGACAAGATAACTAAAACCAAATTAATATAAAATGACAGGACATCAAAGACCAATAAAAAACCTGAAAGGTAACTAAAGGAAAAGACAGATTATGTTAAAGGGAATAACTGTCTAAATGACAACCTGATTTTCAACAGACAAAAATGAAGCTAGAATTCAATGGAATCATGCCTTCAGTGCATTTCAAAAGTAGAATAGACCTTGATAAACAGAAACTTAAAATGATATTTTTTTCAGATAATAGAAAAATTATTATTATTATCAGTATTATTCTATGTGGAGTTGGAGTCTCAATCTGGTGTCCAGGCTGGAGTTCAGTGGTAGGATCATGGCTTACTGCAGTCTGGAACTCCCGGGATCAAACCATCCTCCCACCTCAGCCTTGTGAGTAGCTTCCTTATGCCTGGCTTTTTCATTTATTGTAGACACAGTTTCGCTGTGTTGCACAGGCTGGTCTTGAACTCCTGGGTGTTCCTGACTCAGCCTTACAAAATGTTGAGATTATGGGTGTGAGCCACCCTGCCTTGCCAATAAAAGGACTTTTTGAAACTATTAAATTGAATATGCAAAAAGGAATACAAATTAATGAAGTGGTAAATATGTGCATAATTCTAAATGAATGTTTACTGCATAAAATAATAATGTCTTGTTGGGGTAATTATATAATTGATAAGATACATGCAAATGGCAAAAAATAGAATGGAGGTAAAGCTGACAGGAGTACATTTAGTTAAATTATCTTTTAAACTTTTCTATGTCTATGAGGATATTTTGCACAATGACCCTGTAATTCTACTCAAAGGTATATATACAGAGGAATTGCATCAAATGATATATGAAAGAATGCTCTAGTAGAATTATTCGTAACTGTTCAAAAAAGAAGCTGGCCAAATATATATTAAGGATAGATCAATCATTACAGTAAATCCACACAATGGAACAGTATAGAGAAGTGAAAAAAAATCACATGTACTTGCAACTATGTGACTAAATTTCAGAAACACAATGTTGAGTCCAAGAAGCCACAAACAAGAAGAACATGTAGGATTGCACCTACACGCAGTGCAAAGCAGGCCAGACCAAGCGATGGAGTTTAGGGTTGCATACCTAGTTGGTAAAGTGTAAAGAAAATTAAGGAAATAATCACCATAAATTTTGGATATTGCTTATCTCAGGAGGTATGAAGAAATGTTTAGGGACTTGGAAAGTGGCATGGAGGTGGACCTAGGTTGTGTTTGGTGTTCCTTGTCTTGCCTGCATCATGGTTACTTGAATGTTTATGATACACTGCGGTATTTCCCATTTTTGTTTTGGTTCATTTCTAAGTGTGCATTATAATTTTAATGTAAAATGTTTAATTAGGAGATATGTCTCATAGAAATTATTATTATTCATCTCATTATATACTGATGGCAATAATAAACTATTTGTATACATTGTTATACAACTCTAAGGGAGTTGAAGTGAGCACTTTCTTATTTAGTTGCAACGTGAGGAAATTTGAGATGATGTTATCCTCCAACCCCAGAACTTTCCAATGGATTTCTTCTAGCCTTAATTATCGACCTCACAAGAACAAACCTTTGCAATTTCCCATCTGTTTTTGCTTTTGGCTCCTGAATTCCTGACACAACAAGGTTGTACATATTTCCCACACTCTTGGTTTAGCAGAGTTGATTTATCAGTTATGTTTTTCTGCAAGAGAAAAACCCTCCAAACTACATTAGATGTTTATATCTCACATGTTGTTGGATTTCATTTTTTTTAAGCTGGGTTTGGTGGATGGCTCTGTTTATTTGAAATGGACCAAATTCTGAATCTTGGTAGTAGTTAGAGTTTGGCCAATTTGGTCTGGATCAGGTGGGGGCAATCTGACTTCATTAGTTTCTCACTCTCCTTCTGGGAACAGTGTACTAGCCAGGTGATATTCTCATGGTAAATGGAAAGAGGAAGAATCCCCATTATGGAAGCCATCTGAAATCTCTATGCAAAGTGTAGTAATTTTCTGTTTATCAAAGCAAGTTAAATGGTTGTACTCCAAGTTCAGGGGCAAGGTAGTCAGCCTTCTCAGTGATGGCAGGATACTGCAAGACTATATATCAAAGGGTTGGGTACTCAGGAATTCTTATACAATTGCTAAATGTTTTGTATAGTAATAAATATTTAAACATTAGTCTTGAGAGAAACTTTACCAAAGGCCTAAGAATTAGAGATATGTTTGATAAATAAATATTATTCATGAGCTGAAAGCCCTGAGTGGGAAAATAGGACTAACTTCACCTAGACAACCTCCTGGAAACTCCTTTTTTTATTTTGGAACTGATGAGAAAATAATTTGTTCCATTCGTGAGTGGTGTGCACATGTGTGTGTTTGTGTGTGTATTTATGAGCTTGTGAATAATGAAGTTATACAAACGTATTAGCAGCAACCAGATTCTGAGGTTCTCCAGAAAATCTTAGATATTTTTGATAAAAGCAGTTTGGATTCTGTGTATTTAAATCTGTCATTTAAAAAAGTCCATATAGGTGATGAACTTAATTATGACCAAGCTCCTTTTAAGAATTTAGACATTTACTATATGATCTCTGTATTGGGTTATAAAACTTCCCTAACAACTGAAGTCACTAAAGACAAATGATGGAGAGGTTACACAAGGAAAAATTGCAAACACTGAAAGTGAATATGTCCTTGTTTGCATACTAGCAAATGAGAATTCAGGTTTCATGTCAACTTCAGTATGAATAATTCCAGCCTATAACAAGGACAGACAGTGAATGAATGGGTTAATTTGAGTTGTTTTGAAAATAAGAATATTTTCCATAAAGAGAGCGTTGAACTTACCCATTAGCATGCCATGGTGATTTCTGGCTTGACACTGGTCACAGCAATTAAAAGTAAAAAGAATGTCACAGCACATACACAAATCAGGTGCATATAGAATTTAAGGTCAGGATATTCAAGCAATCACAACCAGTGATATTACACCAGCATTTTAAAAATTTCTTTTTGTCTGTTCAGACATGATAACTTTTCTGCCCATCATTTTTTCCATTCTAATAGTGGTTACATTTGTGATTGGAAATTTTGCTAATGGCTTCATAGCATTGGTAAATTCCATTGAGTGGTTCAAGAGACAAAAGATCTCTTTTGCTGACCAAATTCTCACTGCTCTGGCAGTCTCCAGAGTTGGTTTACTCTGGGTATTAGTATTAAATTGGTATGCAACTGAGTTGAATCCAGCTTTTAACAGTATAGAAGTAAGAATTACTGCTTACAATGTCTGGGCAGTAATCAACCATTTCAGCAACTGGCTTGCTACTAGCCTCAGCATATTTTATTTGCTCAAGATTGCCAATTTCTCCAACCTTATTTTTCTTCACTTAAAGAGGAGAGTTAAGAGTGTTGTTCTGGTGATACTATTGGGGCCTTTGCTATTTTTGGTTTGTCATCTTTTTGTGATAAACATGAATCAGATTATATGGACAAAAGAATATGAAGGAAACATGACTTGGAAGATCAAACTGAGGAGTGCAATGTACCTTTCAAATACAACGGTAACCATCCTAGCAAACTTAGTTCCCTTCACTCTGACCCTGATATCTTTTCTGCTGTTAATCTGTTCTCTGTGTAAACATCTCAAAAAGATGCAGCTCCATGGCAAAGGATCTCAAGATCCCAGCATGAAGGTCCACATAAAAGCTTTGCAAACTGTGACCTCCTTCCTCTTGTTATGTGCCATTTACTTTCTGTCCATAATCATGTCAGTTTGGAGTTTTGAGAGTCTGGAAAACAAACCTGTCTTCATGTTCTGCGAAGCTATTGCATTCAGCTATCCTTCAACCCACCCATTCATCCTGATTTGGGGAAACAAGAAGCTAAAGCAGACTTTTCTTTCAGTTTTGTGGCATGTGAGGTACTGGGTGAAAGGAGAGAAGCCTTCATCTTCATAGATTCACAAGAGCAGCATTGTGTATCTTCTAGCAGAAAACAAACGTGTTATATGAAGCATTTTATATTTCTTACTGTGTTTTCTGTAATGTATGTATATGAATAACTTTCAAGCATGTACCTAGAAAAGTCTTTTACCTAACGTTAGTCTAAAAAAGTGCGTATGTATATATATGTATTTTTGTGTGTATGTTTGTATGAAAAACAAAAGAACATTGACAGTGACATACTCTTTTTTGTTTTTTCACACAAACTGCCAAATTATACAAAATATGACAAAAATTCTTAAGAATTATGAATCCATACCTATTTCATTTATGTATTTTATATTTCATTTGAATAATTTATGATCTATATTTATAATTATTAAGAACTATCAGCTTATCTCAGGAAAGACATTGCTGTTTTCTATTGTTATTTGAACCACACAAATATACCACAGTGTGCTTCGAATTCATTGTTTGAACCTGTAACTTTTTGGATGGTAAGGTCATTCAATTCTAAATCAATAATAAGGATGTGTCTTTGAGGTTTTATTCCATTATGAATTCCTATTTTATGTTTAGTAAAAAGCAATCAGAATTATTGATAGAAAACAATGCACACAATAAAATTTGAGTGACAAGCATATGTAGAGTAAGTTTCAACTATGTCTACCATAAACAGTTCTGAGGAATATTAGATTTAATACAAGCATGTGAATAGCTTAGAAAACAATCTCTTCTATAATAGGGATGAAAAATCATGATTGTGATCTTGATTGCTATTATCAGTTTCCATATGTAGTTAGAAAAGTCATTTCTTCCAGCTTTTGGATTAAAGAAAAGCTTTTTTTTTGAAGTTGAGAGGTGATGTAAACTATTTTAGTATTTTTTTCTAAAGCACTTTTAAGCCCCTGAATTGTTAATTATACCCTTACCTTCCATTTATAAAATTCCTTCTAAACTTCAGGTAACAGAACCCAAATCTTCCTTATTCTAAAAAAAAACTATCAATGTAAAAATAGTATAGAAATTATGGAAAATAAATCAATGAAATTTTTGTAAATGTTAAAATGGCATCTATGAAATCTATGTTTTAATTATAGAATGTGCTTTACAGTTATAATTTTGTTGTCAATGATGAAATGAAAGTGGTTGACATATTCATTAATAGGAAGTTCTATTATGAGATGGAAATGTACAGTCTTGTTCACAGCTAAATTCTACATGACTGTATTAATTTTGGTGTTATGAAATTTTAAAAATGTGATTTAAACCTTAAGATAAATCATCCCCACATGTGATTTATGTGTTTTTTTAAAATCATGTATCTTCCTCAGTACAATGTAAGAACTGTAAAATCAGATCAGAGATGATCTCATCTCTGTCTTGCTTTCTGTTGAATGTAAGATCAGAGAGCAAGATGATCTCATCTCTTTCTTGCTTTCTGTTGACTCCCAGGACCTAGAACCCAGCAACAAGAATAGATGGTCAAAAATGATATTTTAATGAACAAATAAATGGGTGGATAAAATGGGTAAGCTGATGTGGTAAACCAATGAAAGGGAAACTCATCACAAAATCTGCAGTTGCATGAATTCCCCTGTTCTGTTCTCAGGTTAAGGTTACAGGCTTATCCAAGCAGAATCCTTCCGCAGAGGAAAAGTTTGGCTATTCCACAATTTTAGGGGAAATATGACAATAATATAGTCTTGATGCAACTGTATCAGGTGTCTGAATTGGAGACAAGGTAGAACATCAAAATTAGATGGCGCCTATTACAATATTTTTAGAAAGCGTATAAACAACCTTGGTCTATTTGAATATGTATTTTTTTCTATTGTGAATTATATATTTGTATTATGATATTTTCTAGTTGATTATTATTTAAACAAAAATGGCATTTCATTTTAAAAATTGAGTTAGTAACCAGCTACTTTACTAAAATGTTTTTTATGTATTACCTGTTATTAAGGTGATGACATTTATTTAGAAATCAAGTTCAAGACAAAAATGGCAAGGATATGTGGAAATTGAGACAGGAACAAATGTGAAACAATGTGTGGTGATGTCTGGTATGGCTCTGCTGGCAGCCACTTCACAGTGAGGTGAGAGAGACAGCATGACGGTCATCAGATGCGTACACTTGGCTCCCAGCACTTTTCCAGAAGGGCTACAAGGGGAAACCACAGCCGGCATTAGTCCAGGGATGAGAGAGAGGAGGGAGAATGGAGAATGTATCTGCTCAGTTGTCTTCTGTATTTGATTTCCCATTGGCCATTGTTTCCCTGAGGCAGAACTACCATCTCTGCTGTTCTGCCTTCCATCATCCAGTCCCTAGGTGGAGGTTGTGAAAGTCAGACCTCATGCCCACAGTGTGGTGTTCCATTCAAGTCCCAAATGGAAGGATGATCTGGATCAGGCAAGGTGCTGGCCAGGGGAATAGGAGATAGTGAAGGGAATCTAAGAAAGCACATGTCTGTGTCCAATACCACCACTCTTTGTGCCGCTCAGATGTACTCATGCCCTCCAGTCATGGCTGGCTTTATGAGCATATGACTTGCACAGTTGCACAGAGGATACTCCTCTGCTGAAGAGGGAATGGTCTTGCACTAATTCCATAGGGATTTGCTCTCCCCTCTCCCACAGGCTTGTCAGAGACGTGCACAGAGTCCTATAATGCCCACTATGTATGCCTCTAACAGCTTTGAATTCTGCTGGATCATTTGGCTCAGTGGCCATAGCAGTTTGGATCAGAACCTATATCTGCTGTAGAGCCCTCTTTTGTTCTGGGCTCCATTTGAGACCAGTAGCCTATAGAAACTTCATTAATGAGTCAGAGCAATATTCTCAAATGTGGAATATGTTGGCTCCAAAATCCCAGTAGGCCCCCAAAACACTGTGTCTCTTTTGTAGTGATAGGAAATATAGAGAGAGAGCAACATGCCGTTTACTTTAAAAAAGATTGTTTTGACATGTGGACTAGGGACACTGAAAACCTGAAAACATCACCTATGTTGTCAGTCCCTGAATCTTCACATATCTCTTTTCTTCTGGTATTTTACTTCCATTCAATGTTATAGTATTTTACAATATTAAGAATCTTGCCTCTTCCTGTTTATTTTACCAAATAATATATAATTATTATTTGAGACAGGGTCTCATTCTGTCCATGAGGCTGGAGTGCAGTGGCAGGATCATAGCTCATTGCAGCCTCAACCTTCTGGGCTCAGTTGATTCTCCCTCCTCAGCATTGCTAGCAGCTGGGACTGCAGGGACACACCACCTTGCCTGGCTAATTTTGGTATTTTTTGTAGGGCTGGGATTTCACCATGTTACCCAGGCTGGTTTCAAACTCCTGGGCCCAAGTCAGCCTCCTAAAGTGCTGGAATTACAATCATGTGCCACAGGGCCCGGGCTGTAATATTATTAATATATTAAATTAGCATGATGTTTTTAAAAAAATGTAAATTAAACAGAGAACAGAAGTGACATAGTCCTGACATAAAACAGTGAAGCAGTGCTATTATTCTTACAATACAAGGCAAATTGTCTTGATTTTCCCTCATAAAGGGTGTAGATTAACAAATATTCACCAAATGACGAGCCCCGTAAAAAGTGCCAGAAGCTATGCTCTGCTCTGTGAAGACAGTACATCCTAGAAAGCATTTGTGAGTGTTGATTGAAGTTTATGGTAATCTGCACTCATTCTATAATCCATCTGGTTTTGGTAGAGGCCAGATAGGTTAAGTGAATCCGGTTATAGAAAGGACTACCATCCCCTGTAACTTGCAAGTGTTTTGTCACGGCAGTGACCAGTTCCATTCCTTAGGGAATGCGGTTATTATATTTTATACATTGGGTTGCCAGCAGTGGAGAATTTCAGAGGCTTCAACTTGGTCCTGCTATAATAATGTCCCTTACTCTACAGTTCACGAAGAATGTGAAAGTCCTGCCAGCTGCCATACGTATCCAGTTCAATTACACGTTCAGGAAGAGGTAGTAACTACAAACTGATTAGATCCACCTTGGGATGGACATGAGACAAAACTCTAGGTAGCATCTGACCTTCAAAACCTCCCCCTGCAGGCTGGATGTGATGGCTCATGCCTGTAGTCTTAGTAGTTTGGGAGGCCAAGGTGGGAGAATCCCTTGAGAGCAGGAGTTCCCTTTGCAACATATGGAAACTCCATGTCTACAAAAAATTGAAAAATTAGCTGGCGTGGTGCTGCATGCCTATAGTTCCAAATACTTGGGAAACTGAGGCAGGAGGATTGCTTGAGCCCAGGGTTTCAAGGCTGTAGTGGGCTATGATCCTGCCACTGTACTCCAGCTTGGGTAACAGAGGGAGACTCTGTCTAAGAAGAAAAAAAAAAAAAAGTGAAAGTTCTTACTGGTGTCTTAAATATCAAGTAAAACAGGTTCAAATCAATAATTAACAATCTTTGGTTCCTGCCTATAGCAAAAAGGTAAAATGGAAAGCAGTTATACAAATAGTATGTTAACTCATAAGAAAACTAGCCAAAGACAGATTTATTATCATCTGCTTTTTTTGTTGTTGTTTTCTCGAGACGGAGTCTAGCTCTGTCTCCCAGGCTGGTGTGCAGTGGTGTGATCTCGACTAACTACAACCTCCACCTCCTGGGTTCAAATGATTCTTTTGCTGCAGCCATCTGAGTACCTGGGATTACAGACGGGCACCACCACACCTGGCTAATTTTTGCATTTCTAGTGGATATAGAGTTTCACCATGTTGGCCATACTGGTCTTGAAGTCCTAACCTCAGGTGATCCACCTGCCTCAGCCTGCCAAATTGCTGGGAGCCACGGGCCTGGCCAATCATCTGCTTTTTATAGGTGATAATACTGAGGCAGGGAGTAGTTGTAAAATGGAGTCTCAGATCATAGCTATACCAAGCAGGGAATCTGGTTTCCTGTCCTGGCAGTCTGACTCCAAGATCCCCTCTTAGAAACCATCATACTGTAAAAACTGAAAGGAAATAAAAATCCAAGATTGGAGACTGATTTTAACATCTATTCATCTAAACCATTAAGTAATCAAAAATGAATTAAATAGAGGAAAATACAACTGACTATTCATACACAGAGAAGTGTAGACTCTTCAATGGAAAACATGTTTTTTAAGTGCCCAAGGAATAGTTATAAAATTGCTGAGTATTTTAATTAAACAACTAATATTTAAGTATTAGGCTCAAGAGAATAATTTAGTCAAAGTCCTAAATATGAGAGGCTAAGTTTGATAAAGATTGAAAATGCACTGAAAAGCCCAAGTAAGAAAATTATTTTTTCATTTTAGAAATTATAGGACAATAATATTTCCCAACTATGAGGTGTGTGTATGTGTGTGTGTGAACGTGTTTGTGTTAATGAGCTTGTTAACAATAAGTTATACAAAATTATTAGTTGGCAGCAACGAGATTTTTAGGAATATTGGCCTTCCTGGGCTTCCCAAGAAAACCTTGGATGCTTTTGGTAGGAAAAGTTAGGACTCACTAAATCTGGCACAGAAAAGGTGAATCAACAGTGGTCGTGATTCTAGTTTTGACCGAGCTGCATATAACAGTGTAGGCATCTGATGTAGGATCTATGTATTAGGTTAGAAAATTTCCCTTACAACTGCCATTGCTCAGCACAAATTATAGAGAGGTTAAACAAGGAATAAATGGCAAAATGATGAATAAGAATATGACCTGATTTGCATGCTGGCAAATGAGAATTCAGCTTTTACTTCAACATCAGCATGAAACATTTTATCTTATAACAAGGTCACAGCATTTGAATAGGAGTTAATTTGAGCTGTTTTGGAAATTATCATGTTTTCCATTAAGACAGCCTTGAACTCATTCAGTAGCATGGCCCGGTGCGTTCCTGCTTGACATTAGTCAGAGAATTTAAAAGGAACAAGAACATTACTGCACAATCAGAAATCAGGTGCACATAGAAATTAAGGTCAGGACCTTAAAGGGAATATTGCCCATTGATATTAGGCCTGCCTTAAAAAAATTCAGACATGGTATGTTTACTACTCATCATTATTATCCATAACAGTAATGGTAGAATTTGTATTTTCCCATAGGCACCTTCATTACACTTATATACTTATTTGATATTTCAACATATTATTTTCTTTGGGTCCTTTTAAGTAGTTGTTAAACAATGCTGAAAGTTGCCTTACAGTATGCTGTTAACTAATCATATTTTCTCAAAGTCATTTGGCATAATATTTGGTTAAAAGAAGTATGTCTAGTATAATTACATGTGTTCATAACAAAAGAGCATCCTGGCTAACACTCTACTAAAAATACAAAAAATAAGCCAGGCCTGATGGCAGGCGCCTGTAGTCCCAGCTACTCCGGAGGTTGAGGCAAGAGAATGGCATGAACCTGGGAGATGGAGCTTGCAGTGAGGCAGAGCTTGCAGTGAGGCGGAGCTTGCAGTGAGGCGGAGCTTGCAGTGAGGCGGAGCTTGCAGTGAGGCAGAGCTTGCAGTGAGCCGAGATCTCGCCACTGCACTCCAGCCTGGGTGACAGAGCAAGACTCCGTCTCAAAAAAAAAAAAAAAAAAAAAAAAAGAAACATCAGATTCTGAGCATCTGTATTACACTAGACACCTTTTTTTCTTATTTCCAATTTCATTATTTATGATAACATTTCAAAGAGGCAGAAATTAGTGAATTTCCAATAAATTATAGTAATATAGATATTAAATACACAGGACAATTTTTATAAATTTATCTCTAAATGAAATAATTATGCCCATTTTTACCATTCAAAGATTATACCATGCATGTGTACACATATGTGAGGAAAAATATTTTGATAGTACAAAGTTTTTGAATATTAGAGAAGAATTAGTAGAAAGATAATTTTGTTGAGGCATAAAGCATATTTAGTGTAACTACTTTGACTGCTGTAATAAAATCACCCAGATTTTGTGACAGTAGCTGAGATTAAAAATAAACAGTAGAGAGAATTTCACTTGTTAATAATGCTATTAAAAGATGAAGCTTATACACTTTATAATTGCACAGAGTATTTGTGTAAGTTCATATAAAAGTGGAATAAAATTAAACAGCCAAAAAGAGAGTATTCTTTGCTAGAGGTCACTTTTGGGGTAATTTTTAGAATGTGGTAAAAGAAAAAATATCTTGCAAATCATTAGAAATATGTTGATTTTGTGTTACTCTTGATGAAATACTATGTGAGGGTATTTGTCTAGGCCTGATTCTGAGAATAATATAAGAATCGAGCCAGGCACCATGGCTCATGGTTGTAATCCCAGCACTTTGGAAGTTGAGACTGGTGGATCACCTGAGGTCAGGAGTTCCAGACCAGCCTGGCCAATATAGTGAAACCCACTGTCTACTAAAAATATAAAAATTAGCTGGATGTGATGGACAGCACCTGTAATCCCAGCTACTTGGGAGGCTGAGGCAGGAGAATCAATTGAACCTTGGAGGCGGAGGTTGCAGTTAGCTGAGATTGTGCCATTGCACTGCAGCCTGGGTGACAAGAGCGAAACTCCATCTCACACACACACACACACAAAATGTAAAGCCATGAGGATGAATAATAGTGTTCTCCCACCACCCTTAACTCTAGTGCTTTGAAAAGAAGACTCGAATCACAATTATTTAGTAACATTCTCCCTTTCAGGTGACATCATCATCATTATTATCATCATCTACATTTACATCTGTCTTATTAAATGATTTATTTCTGAAATATTTACATACATAATTTGGGTAATGTCTATGTAATTTCCAAGAGATATCATTGTGGGAAAGTTACATTAGTAAACAGCAAAGTTCATGTCAGGCTGAATACATTGAGATTTAGAAAGTTAAGTGTAGTGTAGTGTAGTTTAAAATACATTGCTTAAGAAAACAATTATAGATGATATTAAACTAATCCAAGGAACACTATAAAAAGATTTTGATTTTAGTATAAATAAAATTGCTTAGTAAGAAAAATAAATAAACCATTTCATGATCAAGCTCTTATTTCTAAAGAGAGGATTTTAGGGCTAAATAAATCAAACAGAAGTAAGCTCTCCCCCACATCTTGTCTATATCATTTGGATAATGATGTAATTCAAAGGCACAGAGCACCTTTTCAACAACATAAGCAAAGTGAAAATTATGTCATGGAATACAATGATGTATCTGTGGTTAATGAACTATATTTTATCTATTGCAATGATATTTTGAAATCCAGTGC
Organism: Homo sapiens; assembly: GCF_000001405.40. Lineage (NCBI taxonomy): Eukaryota > Metazoa > Chordata > Mammalia > Primates > Hominidae > Homo > Homo sapiens. The sequence goes on along the minus strand of NW_003571050.1, from coordinate 251,853 downwards.
TGCTCTTTGAGTTCCCTTTGAGCAGAGTTTGTGGTGGGGACCCAGCAACAGACAAGCTAATATCCAAAAAAAGCTACTCACATCAACTTAATTTCCAGTTTCTTTCAAATTGAAGGTAAATTCTAACACAAAGCTTTTATTCTATTCTCTGACTAAAGTGTTGGGAAAAGAAGAAAATTGTTACCGTTTTCATTTCTAACATACTAAAACAAAAAACAAAAAATCAAAAAAATCAGAAACATTTTTAAAAAGAACAGAGTGTTAAGAGTAGTTTGTTCAGTTTTCCTATAGAAAATAATGTTCAGAAAGAGAATAAAAGATTATTCTGAACACTAAAACAATAAGACTAAAAAAATGAAATATCAGTACTGAGAATCCAATAGAAAGAGTCAACCAGTTAGAGCACGAGAAGAGATAATTAGTGAATTAGAAGATAGCTACACAGAATGAAGCATAGAGAGAAAGAAATGGAAAATGCAAGGCTAGAGGGTAACACACTGATGCTATCATCAAAACACCTAACATACTTGTAGAGTTCTGTAAGATTAGAGGAGAGAAAACAGAGCGAGAGAAATGTTGCAGGGATTTTTCCAAAAGTGAAAATGTATCCCAGCATATATCTTTAGTAATCACAAACTTCAGGCATGATAACTAAAATCAAGTTAACAAAAAATAATACAGGACACCAAAGACCAGTAGAAAATCTGAAAAGTAGCTAGAGGTAGAAGATAGAGTATGTTGATAAGAATTGCATTCTAAATACAACCTGATTTTAACAGAAAATATGGAAGGAGGAATTCAAAGGAATCATGTCTTCAGTGTGTTTCCAAAGAGTAGTAGACCTTCATAAACAGAAATTGAAAATGATATTTTTCAGATATAATAAAAATTACTGAAAATACAAAGTTGAACATGCAAGGAGCAATAAAAATTAATGACGAAAAATAAGTGTGTAATTCTAAATAAATGTTGACTGTATAAAACAATATTGTCTTGTTGGATTAAACGTATAATTGATAAGATATATGCAAATAGCAATAAAGAGACTGGAGATAAAGGTGACAGGAATAAATTTAGTCAAACTGTGTTTTGGGCTTTTCTATGTCTGTGAGGAGAATTTGAATGTCATAATCAAGGACCCTGTAATTCTACACCCAGCTATATAAATGCAAAGGAATTGTAGCAAATGATATGTGAAAGAATGCTCATTGTAGAATTATTCTAACAGCTCAGAAAAGAAGCTGCCCATATGTACATCAAATAAGGATGAATAAATAATTACAATAAAATCATAAAATGAAAAAACATAGAGAAGTGAAAAGAAATGAATCACATGTACATGCAGTTATGTGATTACATTTCAGATCCATAATGTTGAGCACAGGAAGCCATGAATACGAACATATAGGATTGTATCTATACAGAGTTCCAAGCAGACCAAACCAAGCTATTGAGTTTAGGGTTGCATACCTAGTTGGTAAAGTATAAAGAAAAATTTTAAAAAATGATCATCATAAATTATGGACGTTGCGTATTACAGGAGGTGTGAAGAAAGGTGTAGAGGGATGGAAACACATTGAGGTAAACCTAGGCTGTTAGCAACATTCCATGTCTTGCCCTACCTGATGGTTACATGAGTGTTTATGACATATTGCTATGTTTTCCATTTTTGTTTTGGCTCATTTCTAAGTGTGCAGTCTAGTTATAATATAAAAATTATTAATCAGAAGAAATGTTCCATGAAAATTATTATTACTCTGCTCATTATATACCAAAGGGAAAAATACACTGTATACATTCATGTACAGCTCTAAAAGATTTTAATTAGAAAATTTTTGATTTTAGTTGTGACTACTGAAAATTTGACAAGATGTTTCCTGCCAACCCCAGATTTTTCAGTAGATATTTCTTCTAGTTTTAATTATCTACTTCATGTGACAAAACATTGACATTTTCCATCTATTTTTCCCTTGGATCCTGAATTCCTGACACAACAGGGGTGGACATGTTTCCCACACGCTTGGCTTAGCAGAATACCTATATCACTTAAGTTTTTCTGCAAGAGAAAATCCTCCAAAACTGCATTAGATATTTGTGTCTCATATGTCTTTGGATTTCATTTTTGTCAGCTAGGTTTGGTGGATGGCTGTGGTGATTGGAGATGGGCCACATTCTGCATCTTGAAGCTACTTTGGCTGATTTAGGCTGGATAAAGCAGTGGCATTCTGACTCCATTAGTTTCTCATTCTTCTTCTGGGAACAGTGTACTCACCAGATGATGTTCTCACGGTGAATGGAAAAGAGCAAGAAACTCCAATATGGAAACCGTCTTAAATCTCTGTGTAAAGTCTACTAATTTCCTGTTCACTGAAGCAAATTACATGAGTGAATTCAGAGTCCAAGTTCCAGGTAGTCACCCTGCCTGTGGTGGGAGGATACTGCAGGATTATATGACAAAGTGTAGCGTACTTAGAAATATTTGCAAAATTGCTGACTGTTTTAATTAAATAATTAATATTTAAACAAAAAACAGACTTGAGAATAAATTTACCAAAGGCCTATGTTGGGCACAGGCCCCCAAATCTGGCCATAAACTGGCCCCAGTAAACTGGCCATAAATAAAATCTCTGCAGCACTGTGACATGTTCGTGATGGCCATGACACCCATGCTGAAGGTTGTGAGTTTACCAGAATGAGAGCAAGGAACACCTGGCCCACCCAGGGCAGGAAACCACTTAAGGGTATTCCTGAGCCACAAACAATAGCATGAGCGATCTGCACCTTAAGGACATATTCCTGCTGCAGATAACTCGCCAGACCCATCCCTTTGTTTCGGCCCATCCCATTGTTTCCCCTGAAGAATACTTTCAGTTAATCTATAATCTATAGAAACAATGCTTATCACTGGCTTACTGTCAATAAATATGTGGGTAAATCTCTGTTTGGGGCTCTCAGCTCTGAAGGCTGTGAGACCCCTGATTTCCCACTCCACACACTATATTTCTGTGTGTGTCTTAATTCCTCTGGCGCCACAGGATTAGGGTCTCCACAACCGAGCTGGTCTTGGCAGGCCCAAGCATGAGAAACATGTTTGATAAATATTATTCATTGTCTGACAACCCTGAGTGGAATATGACTAATTCCACCTAGATGACCTCCTGGGGAAACTCGTTTTCCAATTGGGGATTTATAAGAAAATAATTCATTGCATCTGCTAAGTGTGTCAGTGCATGTGTGTCTATGTATTGAGGAGCTTATTAACAATGATGTCATATAAATGTATTGGTTATCAGAAACCAGATTTTAAGGTGTATTGGCCTCCCAGGACTTTCCAAAATAATCTTGGATGATATTGATAAAAGGTTTAGATTCTGGTATTAAACAAACCATATTGGTATTATCCTAGTTATGACCAAGCTCCTTAAACAATTTAAACCTGTACTGTATGATATGTGTATTGGGTTTTAAAATTTCCCTATGTAACAACTGACGATGCTGGACACAAATTATGGAGAGGTTAGCAAGGACAACAATTGCAAAACAATTAAAAAAATGCCTTTATTTGCATACTAACACATGAGAATTTACTTTTCACTTCATCCTCAATATAAAATATTTCAGCATATAGTAAGACAGACAGTGTATGAAGAGGAGTGAATTTGAGCTGTTTTGAGAATAAGAATATTTTCTATTTCTATAAAGACAGCTTTGAATTCATCCATTAGCATATGATGGTGCTTTCCTGTTGAAATTAGTCATGAATTTAAAGGCAGAAAATGTTACTACACATTTAAAAGTCAAGTGTTTATCGACATTAAGGTCTGGATATTAAGGGAATCACAACCAGTGTTATTAAGGCTGCATTTTTTCTTTCTTTTCATTTGTTCAAACATGATATGTTTTCTGCTCATCATTTTATCAATTCTGGTAGTGTTTGCATTTGTTCTTGGAAATGTTGCCAATGGCTTCATAGCTCTAGTAGGTGTCCTTGAGTGGGTTAAGACACAAAAGATCTCATCAGCTGACCAAATTTCTCACTGCTCTGGTGGTGTCCAGAGTTGGTTTACTCTGGGTCATATTATTACATTGGTATGCAACTGTGTTTAATTTGGCTTCACATAGATTAGAAGTAAGAATTTTTGGTTCTAATGTCTCAGCAATAACCAAGCATTTCAGCATCTGGGTGTTACTAGCCTCAGCATATTTCATTTGCTCAAGACTGCCAATTTCTCCAACCTTATTTTTCTCCACCTAAAGAAAAGGATTAAGAATGTTGGTTTGGTGATGCTGTTGGGGCCCTTGGTATTTTTCATTTGTAATCTTGCTCTGATAACCACGGGTGAGAGTGTGTGGACAAAAGAATATGAAGGAAATTTGTCTTGGATGATCAAATTGAGGAATGCAATACAGCTTTCAAACTTGACTGTAACCATGCCAGCAAACGTCACACCCTGCACTCTGACACTAATATCTTTTCTGCTGTTAATCTATTCTCCATGTAAACATGTCAAGAAGATGCAGCTCCATGGCAAAGGATCTCAACATCTCAGCACCAAGGTGCACATAAAAGCTTTGCAAACTGTGATCTCCTTCCTTATGTTATTTGCCATTTACTTTCTGTGTCTAATCACATCAACTTGGAATCCTAGGACTCAGCAGAGCAAACTTGTATTCCTGCTTTACCAAACTCTTGGATTCATGTATCTTTTGTTCCACTCATTCATCCTGACTATGGGAAGTAGGAAGCCAAAACAGACCTTTCTTTCAGCTTTGTGACAGGTGAAATGCTGAGTGAAAGGACAGAAACCCTCAACTCCATAGATTCACAAAGGGAGCATTGTGTATCTTTTAGCTGAAAACAAACTGACGGTATCTGGAACATTTTATATTTCCATTCGTTTTTCCTTAGTGTATATATTTGAATAATTTCAAAACAGATACCTAGAAAAGTCATCTATCTATCTATCTATCTATCTATCTATCTATACACACACACACACATATATGTGTGTGGGTATATGTGTGCATGTGTGTGAATAACAACATTGACCACAAATTATGAAGCCGAGTATATTTCACATATATATGTAGGTATATTTTATGATAGTTCATCCTATGGTATTTCATGTGAAGAATTTATTACCTCTATTTATAATTAGGAACTTACAGCTTTTATCAGGAAATCATTGTTGTTTTCCATTGTAATTTGTACCACATATATGTACTTAACTATCATTGTTTGAACCTCTAATTTTTTGGATGGTAAAAACATTCAATTCTAAATTAATGATGAGAATGGATCTTTGGGGTAGGTTTTATTTCATTATGAATTCTTATTTTATATTTATTATAAAGCAAATAGAATGGTTGTTAGCTAATGATGCACACAATAAAATTTGAGTGACAAACATACATACATAAGTAGAGTAAATTTTGTATGTGTATACCAAAAACTGTTCTAAAGGATACTGGATTTAATAGTAGTATGTGAATAGATTAGAAAAAAATCATTTCTATAATAGGAATGAAGATACATGATCATGATACTTTCAGTGCTGTTATAATTTTTTAATGTGTAGTTAGAAAAGTTGTTTCTTCCACTTTTTGAATTAAAGAAAACCTTTTTTTTTTTGAAATTGACATCTGATGTCAAGTATTTCCATTTATTTTGCTTAGCCACCTCTGAGCCCTTGAATTTCCAATTTTCCCTTTGTCTCCCATTCTTAATATTTCTCAAAAAAATTCAATTATTCCCTCTCTTAAAATAAACTCAATGTAAACAGGGTATATAAACTATGGATCACAATTGAATGAAACATTCTGCAAATATTGAAAATTATCTGTCTAATCTATATATTGATGATAGGAAATGTATTAATCATATGTTTCATTGTGGGTGGGCAGTGAGCTGAGGCTCCTCAAGCATCTCTTTCTATTTTTATTTTGTTTCTTGACATAGGTTCTCCAGCATTTGGCTCAAGGCCCCAAGGGCACATGTGACAAGAAGGCGCCAGCTTTTTAAACATTGGAAGTTCTTCTGTGTCAGTTCTGTGACAGAACATTTACTTAACACATCATGAAGGCTAGTTTGGATGTGGAGGGGAATAGACTCCATCTATCCATATGAGGTGAGTCAAAGCACTTAGACGTGTTTTCAAACCACTAATCTTGATGATTCAGAAATGTGCTCCCTTTTCCAATTTCATCCTGATACAAATGTATCATCTCCGGATGATGCCAATATTCTCCCCAATTCCATCATGAGCTGTTCTCTATAATTCAGAATCTGTAGACTAAGTTGTAAAACTAATGACTGTCAATGTATTCTACATGAAATAGTGGGCCAAAGAAAGAGGGAAACATGATAAGTAGAAAAATATACATACAACATTTTTTTCTTACACTAAAGATCAAATAAAACCCATAGGACCAAGCCTCCCACAGATACTTTTTATAAATTCTGGATAAAATATTTAAAAAAACAGCCATTCATTGGCAATGGAGAATGAACAAAATAGGCAGATACTAGAGAGAGGTCAGCACTTGGAAGAAGGGAATAGCAAGGAGTGAGTTTCCTGATTTTATAGCTGGCCCTAGTGTGCACCAGGCAGAGGACTAAAACGTCAGAAGAAAACTGTAGACTTACTGGGTTGAAGTAACAGAGGACTGAGTTTGGCATAACACGAGCAGCAGGAGGTCAGGAGAAAATCTGAGAAAGGAGAAGGCCAGAAAAGGGGAGCCCCAACTTCTGAATATAAACTATCCAAAGCTTTGTCTGGTCCCTATACCATGCATGTATAGGGCAGACTTCATGTAGCCCAGCTAAAATAATTAAATTGAGATTTCAGTTATCATCAAGCACAGTGAAGACAGAGATAGCAACAAAACATATTACTTTAGGCAAAGATACTCTATTCTTGAAAACCTAAACTACATTCCATTACCTTTCATAACAGTCATATTCCTTGTCCATTCTGGTTTCTACCTTGGTTCTAACTCCTACTTTTATTAATTACACTAATCAAAGTAATTCTCTTTCAAGGAGAAAACTGGAAGTTATGTAATTGAAGACTATTAAAAATAACTATTTTGGCAGATGTGCAAAATTCTCAAGCGCATATATTACAACTTTCTATAGTCATATACATCCTTTTTACACTTGCTTGAATTGGTCTACAAAACCCCCATGTTTCATAGTGTAATCCAAACAAATAGCCACTCCATAAAATATAAGAATAAAAGTTATATTTATTTATTATATAACCTTTGATTGGTGACCACATTTCAGTATTCCAACTTAACTAGAAATTATCTGAAGATTTTCATCAACTCACTGAATTTAATATTAGTCTAAGGTCTTAAATTGCACCAGGAATCTTGGAAATTAAATTTAAGCTGATAGGCTAGAGAAAATAATTACTGTCAATATGTGGAGTTTTTCATAATTTGTATTCAGTTTATTTGAAAGCATAATTTTACATTTTTTGGTATTTTAACATTATGTGGACATATTAATTTACCTTATCAGTAAACAGATATAGGAAGTTTAGGAATTTCTTTTTTTAAAATGTATTTTTAAGTTTCGTGGATACATACTAGGTGCATACATTTATTGGGTACATGAGATGTGTTGATACAGGCATGCAATGTCACATAATGAAGAATGGGGTAGCCATCCCCTCAAACATTTACTCTTTTTTGTTACAAACAATTCAGTTATACTCTTTCAGTCATTTTAAAATGTACAACTGAATTATCATTGATTATAGTCACCCTGCTGTGCTATCAAATAGTAGGTCTTATTAATTCTTTCTATTTTTTTTTTTTTTTGGTAACCATTAACCAGCCACTCCTTCCCTTTAGCCTCCACTACCTTTCCCAGCCTTTGTTTAGCATCCATGTACTCTCTATGTCCATGCCTTCTGTGCAAACATTGCAGTTGTTTCTGATGTATTCAACTTAACATAATAATCTCCAATTCTATCCATATATTGCTGCAAATGACAGGATCTCATTTTTTAATGGCTCAATTGTACTCCATTGTGTATATGTACCATATTATCTTTATCTATTAATCTGTTGCTGGACACTCAGGTTGCTTCCAAATCATGGCTATTGTGAACAGTGCTACAACAAACATGGGAGTGTAGATACCTGTTTGATACACTTATTTCCTTTCTTTTGGGTATATACACACCAGTGAGATTGGTGGAACATATGGTAGCTCTAATTTTTGTCTTTTAAGAAAACTTTCAATGGTTTTCCATAGTGGTTTTACTAATTTATATTCCCACCTGAGGTGTAGAATGGTTCCCGTTTCTCCACATCTTCACCAGCACTTGTTACATGCCTTTTGGATATAAGCTGTTTTAACGGGGTTGAGATGATATCTATCTCATTTTAGTTTTGGTTTGCATTTCTCTGATGGTCAATGATGTTGAGCACCTTTTCACCTTTTCATATGTGTGTTTGACATTTGTATATCTTCTTTTGAGAAATGCATATTCAAATCTTTCACCCATTGTTTGATCAGATTGTTAGATTTTTTTTTTCCTATACAGTTGTTAAAGCTCCTTTTATATTCTGGTTATTAATCCCTTGTGAGATGAGTAGTTTGCAAATATTTTCTCCCATTCTGTGGGTTGTCTCTTTACTTTGTTGATTGTACCCTTTGCTGTGCAGAAGTATTTTTTAACTTGATGTCATCCCAATTGTGCATTTTTGACTTGGTTCCCTGTGCTTGTGGGGTATTACTACTCAAGAAATTTTTGCTCAAACCAATGTCCTGGGGAGTTTCTCTGAAGTTTTCTTATGGGAGCTTCATGGTTTGAGGTCTTAAAGATACATCTTTAATCCATTTTGATTTGATATTTGTATAGATATATGGGACTAGTTTCATTCTTCTGCATAGGGATATTCAGTTGTCCCAGCACCATTTATTGAAGAGACTGTCTTTTTCCAGTGTACGTTCTTGGCATCTTTTTCAAAAATGAGTTCACTGTAGGTGTGTGGATTTGTTTCCAAGTTGTCTATTCTATTCCGTTGGTCTATGTGTCTGTCTTAATGCCAGTAACATGCTGTTTTGGTTACTACAGCCTCTGTAGTATAATATGAAGTCAGGTAACATGATTCCTCCACTTTTGTTCTTTTTTCTTAGGATACTTTTGGCTATTCTGGGTCAGTTGTGGCTCCATATAAATTTTAGGATTGTTTTCTCTATGTCTGTGAAGAATGTTTTTAGTATTTTGATAGGAATTACATTGAATCTGTAGATTCTTTGGGTAGTATGGCCATTTTAACAATGTTGATACTTCTAATCCATGGACATGGACCATCTTTTCTTTTGTTGGGTGTCCTTTTCAATTTCTTGCATTAGTGTTTTATAGTTTTCATTATAGAGATCTTTCATCTCTTTGGTTGAGTTAATCTTCAGCTATTTAATTTTATGTGTGGCTTTTGTGAGTGGGATTAATTTTTTGATTTTGTTTTCAGATTGTTCACTATTGACATATAGAAATACTACTAATTTTTATGTTAATTGTGTATACTGCAAATTTATTGAGTTTGTTTATCAATTCTAATAGTTTTTTGGTACAGTCTTCAGGTTTTATAAATATAAGATCATATTGTTTGAAAACAGGGATAATTTGGCTTATTCTTTTCCTATGTGGATGCTCTTTATTTATTTTTCTTGCATGATTGCTCTAGCTAGAGCTTCTACTATTATGTTGAATAGCAGCAGTGATTGTGAGCATTTTTGGCATGTTCCAGATCTTAGAGGAAAGTCTTTTAGTTTTTCCCAATTCAGTATGATACTAGTTGTGGGTCTTTCTATATGATTTTTATTATGTTTAGATTTTCCTTCTATATTCAGATTTCTGAGGGTTTTTATCATGAAGGAATATTGAATTTTATCAAATGCTTTTTCAGCATTAATTTAAATGATCATATGGTTCTTGTCCTACATTCTGTTGATATGATGTATTACATTGATTGATTTTGATTTGTGTATGTTGAACCACCCTTGCATCTCAGGGATAAATCCCACTTGGCCATGAGGAATTATCTTTTTAATGTATTATTTAATTTGATTCGCTAGTATATTGTTGAGACTTTAGCATCAATGTTCATCAGGGATATTTACTTGTAGTTTTCCTTTTTCAATGTGTCTTTGTCTGGTTTTGGTATCAGGGTAATAAGATTTTCAAGAATAAGCCTGGGCCGGGCCTGGTGGCTCACGCCTGTAATCCCAGCACTTTGGGAGGCTGAGTTCGGTGGATCACGAGGTCAGGAGATCAAGACCATCCTGGCTAACACAGTGAAACCCCGTCTCTACTAAAAATACAAAAATTTAGCCGGGCGTGGTGGTGGGCGCCTGTAGTCCCAGCTACTCGGGAGGCTGAGGCAGGAGAATGGCGTGAACCCGGGAGGTGGCGCTTGCAGTGAGTGGAGAGCATGCCACTGAACTCCAGCCTGGGTGACAGAGTGAGACTCTGCCTCAAAAAAAAAAAAAAAAAAAAAAAAGAATGAGCCTGGAAGTAGTCCCTCTTTCTCTATTTTTTCAGAAGAGTTTGAGTAGGATTGGCATCAGTTCTTTAAATGTTTGGTAGAATTCAGATCTAAAGCCGTCTGCTCCCAGGCTTTTTTTTTTTTTTTTTTTTAAACTGGGAGACATTTTATTGCAGAATTTATCTCATTACCTGTTTTTGGTCTTATCAGGTTTTGGGCTTCTTTATGGTTCGATCTTTGTAGGTTGTATGTGTCTAGGAATTTGTCCATTTGTTTTAGAGATTCCAATTTATTGATATATAGTTGTTCATACTAGTCACTAATATTTCTTTGAATTTCTGTTGTATCAGTTGTAATATCTCCATTTTCATCTCTGATTTTATTAATTTGGATCTTTTTTTCTTAGTCTGCCTAAACGTTTGTCAATGTTGTTTAACTTTTCAAGAAAACAAGTTTTTGTTTCATTGATCTTTTGTATTGTTTTCTTCATTTCAATTTCATTTATTTCTGCTGTAATTTTTATTATTTGTGTTCTACTAATTTTGGGTTTGGGTTACTTTTGTTTTTCTAGTTCTTTAAGATACACAATTAGGTTGTTTATTTGAATTTTTCTTCTTTTCTGATGTAGGCTTTTATAGCTGTAAATTTCCTTCTTAGTATTGTTTTTGCTGTATTTCATAGATTTTGGTATGTTTTGTTTCCACTATCATTTGTTTCTAGCAATTTTCCATTTCCTTTTAAATTTATTTGTTGACCTACTGGTCATTCAGGAGCATATTGTTTCATTTCCATGTGTTTATATAGTTTCCAAAATTATTCTTGTTATTGATTTCTAGTTTTATCCCATTGTGGCCAGAGTTGATGCTTGGCAATATTTCAGTTTTTTGGATTGTTTAAGACTTGTTTTGTGATCTAACATATGGTCTATCCTTGAGAAAAATCCATGTGCTGAGGAAAAGAATGTTTATTCTGCAACTTTTGGGTGAAATGTTACGTAAGTATCTAATAATCAGTTTGTTCCATAGTGCAGATTAAGTCTGATGTTTCTTTGTTGATTTTCTGTCTGGAGGATCTGTCCAATGCTGAAAGTGGAATGTTGAAGTCTCCATCTATTATTGAATTGAGGCTTTTCTCTTTGCTTTGCTCTAATAATATTTGCTTTATATATCTGGGTGCTCCAGTGTTGAGTGCACATATATTTACAATTGCTATATCCTTTTGGTGAATTGACCCTTTTATCGTTATATGGTGACCTTCTTTATGTCCTCATAGTTTTTGTCTTGAAAACTATTTTGTCTAATATTAGTATAGGTACTCTACTTTTTTGTTTTTTTTTTTTTTTTTTTTTTTGGTTTGCATTGACATGGAATATCTTTTTCCATCCCTTTATTTTCTCTCTGTGCATGTCTTTATAGGCAAAGTGTGTTTCTTAGAGGCAACAGATTGGAGTTTTTTTTTGTTTTGTTTTTCCATTTAGCCAAACTATGTCTTTTGATTGGAGAGTTTAGTCCATTTTCATTCAACGTTATTACTGGTAGTAAGGTCTTACTTCTGTCATTTTATTATTTCTTTTCTGGTTATGTTGTAGTCTGCTATTCTTTCTTTCCTTCCTTCCTATTTTTCATTAGTGAAGGTTATTTTCTCTGGTGATATGATATAGTTTCTTGCTTTTTATTTTTTTGTGTATCCATTCTATGCTGTTAGGTTTGAGATTACCATGAGGCTTGCAAATGCTATCTTCTAACCCATCATTTCAAGCTAATAACCACTTAGTACTGTTTACATAAGCAAACAAACAAGCACAAAAACAAAACAAATGAGGACTCTGCACCTTAACTCCATCTTCTCAGGTTTTAACTTTTTGTTTTCACTATTAATATCTTATTGTACTGTCTATGTCTTCAAAGCCTGTTGTAGCTATTTTTTAAAATTATACTTTAAGTTCTGGGGTACATGTGCAGAACACGCAGGGTTGTTACATAGGTATACATGTGCCATGGTGGTTTGCTGCACCCATCAACCCGTCATCTACATTAGGTATTTCTCCTAATGCTATCCCTAGCTCCCCACCCTCCAAAAGGCCCAGGTGTGTGATGTTCCCCTCCCTGTGTCTGTGTGTTCTCACTGTTCAATTCCCACTTATGAGTGATAACATGTGGTGTTTGGTTTTCTGTTCCTGTGTTAGTTTGCTGAGAATGCTGATTTCCAGCTTCATCCATGTCCCTGCAAAGGACATGAACTCATCATGAACAGATGATTATACTGAGGCACAGAGTAGTTATAAGATGAAGTCTCAGAGCATAGCTATGTGAAGCAGAAAATCTGGTTTCCTGTCTTGGCAGTTTGACTCCAAAATCCTCTCTTAGAAACAATTATACTTTTTAAATGGAAAAGAAATAAAATCCAAGATTGGAGACTGATTTTAACATCTATTCCTCTTAATCCTTTAAGTAATCAAAAATAAATTAAACGGAGAAAAATGAAACCAAATATTCATATACAAAGAACTCTAGACTCTTCAGTGAGAAACATGTGTTTTTCAAGTCACCCAAAATAGTTACACAATTGCTGAGTATTTTAATTAAACAATAAATATTTAAGTATTAACTGGGCTCTAGAGAAAAACTTAGTCAAAGGCCTCAGCATGAGCGATAAGTTTGATAAATATTGAAAATGGTCTGAAAAGCCCAAGTGGAAAAGCAGGGCTATTTCTACCTGGATGATGTCCCTGTAATTAATTTTCCATTTTGGAAATTAGAGGACAGAAATTCCTTCTATCCATGAGGGGGTGAGTATGTATGTATGTGTGTATGTTTGTGAATGTGTTTGTATGAATGAGCTTGTAAACAATAAGTTATACAAAAGTATTAGTAGCCACCAGGATTTAAGGATTATTGGCCTTTCTGAGGTTCCCAAGAAAACCTTAAATGCTTTTGGTAGGAAAAGACGGGATTCATTCTACATATTACTGGCGTTGAAAATATAAATCTACTTTGGTGATGATCCTAGTTATGCCCAAGCTCCCTTTACCAGGTAATAAAACCAATGTGTCATCTGTGTATTGGGTTGTTAAATTGCTGAACACAAATTATGGAGAGTTTAAACAAGGAAAAAATTGCAGAACATTTAAAAAACTCTTCATTGGCATGCTAGTAGATGAGAATTCAGGTTTTACTTCAACAACGATGTGGAAAATTTTATCTTACAGCAAGGACATTGTGTTTGAACAAGAGTTAATTTGAGCTGTTTTGGAAATTATCATATTTTCCATAAAGAGAGCATTGATTACATCCGTTGGCCTATTGAGATGCTTTCCTGTTTGACATTGGTCACAGAATTTAAAAGGAAAAACAACATTACTGCACACTTAGGAATCAGGAATAGAAGTAAAAGTCAGGTAAAGGGAATCTCGTCAGGATATCAGGCCTGCCTTTAAAAAAATTCAGACATGATAAGTTTACTACCAATCATTTTTTCAATAACAACAATAATATATTTATATTTTCCCATGGACACCTACATTAAGCTTGTAGACTATTTTTATATTTCAATATTTTTTTCTTTGAGTCCTTTTAAGAGTTGTTCAACAATCCTGAAATATCCCTTACAGTATGCTGTTAACTAATTATATTTTTTCAAAGTCATTTGACATAATGATTGATTAAAGGAAATATCTCCAGTATAAGTACACTTGCTTATAACAAAAGAGTATTTGAAATTGACATTACTTATTTTGGAAAGGATACGACACAATGGGAATTTTCATACACCACTCCTAGAATTATAAATCTGTGACATCATTTCGGCCGAGTATGGCATTATCTGATTAAGATGAAGGATCACATCCTAAGACCCAGCATTTATACTCTTATCAGAATACATATACATTCACATGCATATCACTGAGTTTCAATAGCTAAAGTTGAGAAGTCCTCCAAATGTCTATCAGTCCTCCAAATGAATAAACAAATTGTGGCATACTTATACAATGGAATACTATACAGTGATCAAAATTAACAAACAAGACTGACATGTTTACAACAGAATAATACAACAGAGAAAATGAACAAATTTGAGCTACATAAATAATAATACAGATATGAGAAGAATTATCAAGATGGAAAAATACATTTAGTATAATCTCATTTACATAAAGTTTGAAAAACATTCTTTTTAATAATTGTAATTTATTACATTGGTGATAAAACTCTGTAGTGAAACATATGAGTGATCATCATAACAACTGGGATAGTCAAGAAGGAGGAAAATGTCAGCAAGAAGACATATATTGGGATTATCTGGATGGCTGGCAAATTCTTTTTTCTTGCCAATGTGTGGTAACATCCATGTTAACGTTACAATTTTTTCTCTTTCTGTTTCTGTTGTGTTATTACTCTCTATGTGTATGTTATGCTCCACAATAAAAAATGTTAAAAAAGCAGAAACATAAAGTATATTTCTAAGTATAAAATTAGGGTGATACAGCATATTCTCATAGATACCATTGTAATTAGAGTTTTTGCTGAATAAAGGAGAATAGAGCATTATGGTACTAAGAAATCCAAATTAAAATTTAAAACTTTTCTTTTTTTATTTTGAGACAGCGTCTCACTCTGTTGCCCAGGCTGGAGTGCACAAGCGCAATCTTGGCTCAATGCAACCTCCGCCACCTGGGCTCAAGTGATTCTCCCATCTCAGCCTCCTGAATATCTAGGACAACAGGTGTGCACCACCACACCCTGCTGATTTTTTCTATTTTTTTTTAGAGGCAAGGTTTTGCCATGTTGCCCAGGCTGGGCTTGAACTCTTGTGCTCAGGCAATCCACCTCCCTCAGCCTTTCAAAATGCTGGGATTATAGGTGTGAGCCACCACACCTGACCTAAAACTTTTCTTAAATTAATTTTAAAAAAGGAGAGATAAGCAAGAACTGTAAATCCACCTTCTTAATGCTAATATGAATTTGAAACATCAAAATTTGAATATTTATTATTGATAGACACTTTTTATTTCCAATTTGATTATTTATGATACACATTTGAAAGTGTTAGAAATTCATGAATTTCCAATAAATTATACTACGATGGATATTAAATTAAATAAATATATCCAAAAATGTGTCTCTAAATGAAATATTTATACTCATATTTTTAGCATTTTAATTTCACAATACTATTCACATGTACACCTGTAAGTTGGGTTAAATATTTTGTTACTATAAATTTTTTGGCTCTACATTAGAGAAAAATACCATAGAAAGGCAAATTTTTTAACGTATAAAACATATTTAGCATGATCTTTGAGTATGTTTGTGCATATATAATTCAACTTTGACTGCTATAGTAAAATGATCCAGATTTAGTCACCATAGCTAAGAAGGGGAAAAAGCATTTGCAAGAATTTGGCTTGCTAATGATGCTATTAAAAGATAAACTAAAGTTGATATACTGTATTATTGCATAGACTATTTGTCCATGTTAGTGTTCAAAAATGCCAAAAAAAATCCCAAAATAGAATCCTAATTGTTGGAGGTCGTGTTTCTTATCGAATTTTAAAATGTAGTAAAAGAAAAAAAAGCAAATAAATCGTTGAAAATATGTTGGTTTTACATTATTCTTGATGAAATACCATGTGAGGGTACTTGTCTAGGCCTAATGCTGAGAATCATAGAAGAATCATGAGGCCATGAGGAAGAATAGTAGTGTTCTCTCATCACGCTGAGCTCCAGTACTTAGAAACAAGCCTGAAATCACACTGATCAAATAGCATTCTCCCTTTCACCTGCCATCATCATTATCATCATCGTCTATATCTTCATCTATATCATGAAGTGGTTTGTTTTTGAAATATTTAAATACATAATTTGGAAAATAAGTAATTTTAAAAAGATCATCATTGTGGGAAAGTTACAATAGTAAACAGCAAAGTTCAAGTCAAGCTCCAATACATTTAGATTTAGAAATTAAGTGTAGTTTATTTTACAATACATTGCTTATGCAAATAATTATTTATGGATGACCTTCAATGAATCCTCCTTTCACTATGATCATGATAGAAACAATTCAGATTTTCGTGTAAATAAAATTCCTTAATAAGAAAGATAAAGCGAGTAACACATTTTTTGAGCACGCTTTTATTTCTAAAGAGCGGATTTTAGGACCAAACTGTCAAACAGAGGTAAGACCCCAGATCTTCTGTCACACTTGAGTGAGTGATGATGGAGTTAGAAGGTTGTAGTTCTATAACCAAAACTATATTCATGGATAGGATTAAATGGTGGAATTCCATAGAAGCACCAGATTCAGTTTTGTTTCCATGGGACTTAAAGTCTACTTATGTCAGATGTCCTTCATTTTTTGATAAACTCGTAAGTACTGTTTTACTATTTGATCTTTCAATGATTGTTATAAACTAAGAAGTTTTGATTTCTGCTAATTAAAACAGCATAGGGCGGGCGCGGTGGCTCACGCCTGTAATCCCAGCACTTCGGGAGGCCGAGGTGGGTGGATCACGAGGTCAGGAGATGGAGACCATCCTGGCGAACACAGTAAAACCCTGTCTCTACTAAAAATACAAAAAATTAGCCAGGCGTTGTGGCAGGCTCCTGTAGTCCCAGCTACTCCGGAGGCTGAGGCAGGAGAATGGCGTGAACCCGGGGGACAGAGCTTGCAGTGAGCCGAGATCGCGCCACTGCACTCCAGCCTGGGAGACAGCGACACTCCGTCTCAAAAAACAAAACAAAACAAAGCAAAAACAGCGTAAAATTTAAATCATGGAATAGAGTGGTGGAGCTGTGGTTGAGATGCTCTATTTAATTAATTTTAATGACATTTTGAGATCCAGTGCTGCTCATTGAATTTGCCTGTGAAAAGAGTTTGTGGTGATGACCCAGCAACAGATAAGATACTATCCAAAAAAAGCTACTGACATCAAATCAATTTCCAGTTTCTTCTAAGTTGCAGGAGAATGCCTAGATCTTGCTTTTATTCTCTTCTTTGACCAAAGTATTACAAAAAGAAAAATATGGTTACCATTTTCATGTCAGGTATACTAAAAGTTTAAAAAAACTCTTTTTTTAATAACTTGGTTTTAGGAATACTTGGTTTAGTTTCTCCGTTAGAAAAATGATTTATATAAGGAGAACAAAAGTTCATTTCTACTTCTAAAACAATAAGACAAAAACAAAAAGAGTAATCAATTTTGAGAATCCAATAGAGTTAAAAACCAGTTAAACATAAGAAAGAATTAGTGAATTTGAAGATAACTACCCAGAATGAAGATAAAGAGACGAATAGATAGAAAATATAAGGCTAGAGGGTCAGAGACAGTGAAGCTACAATCAGAACAACTAACATACTTCTGCAGTTCCCGAAAATTAGAAGAGAACAAATGGGGCAGAAGCAATGTGGAGATTTTTCCAAAAGTGATAAAGTATATCAGTTCATATATTTTTAGAAACTATCAGACTTCAGACACGATAACTAAAACCAAATTAACATAAAATGACAGGACATCAAAGACCAATAGAAAACCTGAAAAGTAACTAGAGGAAAAGATAGATTATGTTAAAGGGAATAACTGTCTAAACGACAAGCTGATTTTCAACAGACAAAAATAAAGCTAGAGTTCAATGGATTCATGTCTTCAGTGTATTTCAAAAGTAGAATAGATCTTGATAAACAGAAACTTAAAATACATCTTTTCAGATAGAAGAAAAATTATTATTAATATTATTATTATTATTTTTGTTGGTAGAGTTGGAGTCTCACTCTGTTATCCAGGCTGGAGTTCAGTGGTAGGATCATGGCTTACTGCAGTCTGGAACTCCTGGGCTCAAACCATCCTCCCACCTCAGCCTTGTGAGTAGCTTCACTATGCCTGACTAACTTTTTCATTCATTGTAGAGGCAGTTTTACTGTGTTGCACAGGCTGGTCTTGAACTCCTGGGTGCTCCTGCCCCAGCCTTACAAAATGTTGGGATTATGGGTGTGAGCTACCCTGCCTGGCCAATAAAGGGTCTTATTGAAAATATTAAGTTGAATATGCAAGAAGGAATACAAATTAATGAAAGTGGTAAATATGTGCATAATTCTAAATGAATGTTTAGAAAATAATAATGTCTTGTTGGGGTAATTATACAATTGATAAGACATATGCAAATGGCAAAAAATAGAATGGAGGTAAAGGTGACAGGAGTAAGTTTAGTTAAATTATTTTCTGAACTTTTCTATGTCTATGAGGAGATTTTGAACAATGATAATATAATTCTACTCATAGGTATATATGCAAAGGAATTGTATCAAATGATATATGAAAGAATGTTCTAGTAGAATTATTCATAACTGTTCAAAAAAGAAACTGGCCAAATACATATTAAGGTTGGATGAATCATTACAGTAATTCCATGCAATGGAACAATATAGAGAAGTGAAAAAAAATCACATGTGCTTGCAACTATGTGACTAAATTTCAGAAACATAATGTTGAGTTCAGGAAGCCACAAACAAGAGGAACATGTAGGATTGCACCTATACAGCGTTCAAAGTAGGCTAGACCAAGCGATGGAGTTTAGGGTTGCATACCTAGTTGGTAAAGTATGAAGAAAATTGAGGAAATAACCATTATAAATTATGGATATTGCTTATATCAGGAGATGCGAAGAAGGGTTTAGGGACTTGGAAAGTGGAATGGAGGTGGATCTAGCCTGTTTTAGGTGTTCCTTGTCTTGCCCTGCATCATGGTTACTTGAGTGTTTATGATACACTGTGGTATTTCCCATTTTTGTATTGGTTCATTTCTAAGTGCGCATTATAACTTTAATATACAAATTTGTAATTAGGAGAAATATCTCATAGAAATTATTATTACTCGTCTCATTATATACTGAAGGGAAATATCAATTATTTGTATACATTCCTATACAACTCTAAGATAGTTGAAATAGGAACTTTCTTATTTAGTTGCAACATGAGGAAATTTGAGATGATGTTATCTGCCACCCCCAGATCTTTCCAAAGGATTTCTTCTAGCCTTAATTATCGACCTCACAGGACAAACCTTTGCCATTCCCCATCTATTTTTTCTTTCGGCTCCTGAATTCCTGACACAACAAGGTTGTACATATTTCCCACACTCTTGGTTTAAGAGTTCTTTTATCAGTTATGTTTCTCTGCAGGAGAAGACCCTTCAAAACTACATTAGATATTTATATCTCACATGTCGTTTGATGTTGGTTTTTTGTTTTGTTTTGTTTTGTTTTGTTTTGTTTTGTTTTTTGACAGAGTCTTGCTGTGTCGCCCAGGCTGGAGTGCAGTGGCATAATCTCAGTTCACTGCAACCTCCGCCTCCCGGGTTCATGCCATTCTCCTGCCTCAGCCTCCCGAGTAGCTGGGAATACAGGTGCACACCACCATGCCCTGCTAATTTTTGTATTTTTAGTAGAGATGGGGTTTCACCATGTTGGCCAGGATGGTCTCCATCTCTTGACCTCGTAATCTGCCTTCCTCAACCTCGCCTGCGCTGGGCCTGGATTTTATTTTTCTAAGCTGGGTTTGGTGGATGGCTGTGGTGATTTGAGATGGGCCAAATTCTACATCTTGGAGGACGTTAGAGTTTTGCCAATTTAATCTGGATCAGGTGGCAGCAATCTCACGTCATTAGTTTCTCATTCTTCTTCTGGGAACAGTGTACTAGATAGGCCATACTCTTATGGTAAATGGAAAGAAGAAGAATCCCCAGTATGGAAGCCATCTCAAATCTCTATGCAAACTGTAGTAATTTTCTGTTTATCAAAGTAAGTGAAATGATTGAACTCCAAGTTCAGGGGCAAGGTAGTCAGTCTTCCTGTGATAGGATACTGCAGGATTATATATCAAAGGGTCTGGTACTGAGGAATTCTTATAAAATTGCTAAATATTTTTTATAATAATATTTAAACATTAGACTTGAGAGAAACTTTACCAAGTCCTAAGAATTAGAGATAATGTTTTTGATAAATAAATATTATTCATGGGCTGAAAACCCTGAGTGGGAAAATAGGACTAATTTCATCTGCACAGCCTCTTGGAAACTCATTTTTTATTTTGGAAATTACAAGAAAATAATTTGTTCCATTCATAAGTGGTGTGCACATGTGTATATTTGTGTGCATATTTATGAGTTTGTGAATAATGAAGTTATACGAAAGTGTTAGCAGCAACCAGATCTTATGGAGTAGTGGCCTGCCTGTGGTTCTCAAGAAAATCTGAGATGCCTTTGATAAAAGCAGTTAGGATTCTGTGTATTTAAATCTGTGATTTAAAAAAGTCCGCATTGGTGATGATCTTAGTTATGACCAAGCTCCCTTTGAGAATTTAGATATTTACTATATGATATATATATTGAGTTACAAAACTTCCCTAACAACTGAAGTCACTAAAGATAAATGATGGAGAGGTTACACAAGGAAAAATTGCAAACACTGAAAGTGAATATGTCCCTATTTGCGTACTAGCAAATGAGGATTCAGGTTTCACGTCAATTTCAGTGTGAATAATTCCAGCCTATAACAAGAACAGACAGTGAATGAATGAGTTAATTTGAGTTGTTTGAAAATAAGAATGTTTTCCATAAAGAGATCATTGAACTCATCAGTTAACATGCCATGGTTATTTCTGGCTTGACACTGGTCACAACAATTAAAAGTAAAAAGAATGTCACAGCACATTCACAAATCAGGTGCATATAGAATTTAAGGTCAGGATATTCAAGCAATCACACCCAGTTATATTACATTGAGAGATGAAGCGAGCTATACTTTCTGAATCGAGTGGGGACTTGGAGAACGTTTCTGTAGCTAGCAAGGGGATTGTAAAATGCACCAAACAGTGCACTGTAAAACCACAGCAATCAGCGCTCTGTAGCTAGCAAGAGGATTGTAAAATGCACCAATCGCTCTAAAATACACCAAGCAACAGGATCCTAAAAGTAGCCAATGGCAGGGAGGATTGAAAAAAGGGCACTCTGATAGGACAAAAAAAGGAAAATGGGAGGGGACAAATAAGGGAATAAAAGCTCATGGCTTCAGCCAGCAGCAGCAACCTGCCTGGGTCGCCTTCCTCCCGGTGGAAGCTTTGTCCTTTCTCTCTTCTCAATAAACCTTGCTGTTGCTCACTCTTTGGGTCCATGCCATCTTTAAGAGCAGCAACACTCACCGTGAAGGTCGGTGGCTCCATTTTTGAAGTCAGGGAGACCACGAACCCACCTGCAGGAACCAACTCCGGACACAACACCAGCATTAAAACAATTTTTTTTTGTCTGTTCAGACATGACAACTTTTATACCCATCATTTTTTCCAGTGTGGTAGTGGTTCTATTTGTTATTGGAAATTTTGCTAATGGCTTCATAGCATTGGTAAATTCCATTGAGCGGGTCAAGAGACAAAAGATCTCTTTTGCTGACCAGATTCTCACTGCTCTGGCGGTCTCCAGAGTTGGTTTGCTCTGGGTATTATTATTAAATTGGTATTCAACTGTGTTTAATCCAGCTTTTTATAGTGTAGAAGTAAGAACTACTGCTTATAATGTCTGGGCAGTAACCGGCCATTTCAGCAACTGGCTTGCTACTAGCCTCAGCATATTTTATTTGCTCAAGATTGCCAATTTCTCCAACCTTATTTTTCTTCACTTAAAGAGGAGAGTTAAGAGTGTCATTCTGGTGATGCTGTTGGGGCCTTTACTATTTTTGGCTTGTCAACTTTTTGTGATAAACATGAAAGAGATTGTACGGACAAAAGAATATGAAGGAAACTTGACTTGGAAGATCAAATTGAGGAGTGCAGTGTACCTTTCAGATGCGACTGTAACCACGCTAGGAAACTTAGTGCCCTTCACTCTGACCCTGCTATGTTTTTTGCTGTTAATCTGTTCTCTGTGTAAACATCTCAAGAAGATGCAGCTCCATGGTAAAGGATCTCAAGATCCCAGCACCAAGGTCCACATAAAAGCTTTGCAAACTGTGATCTTTTTCCTCTTGTTATGTGCCGTTTACTTTCTGTCCATAATGATATCAGTTTGGAGTTTTGGGAGTCTGGAAAACAAACCTGTCTTCATGTTCTGCAAAGCTATTAGATTCAGCTATCCTTCAATCCACCCATTCATCCTGATTTGGGGAAACAAGAAGCTAAAGCAGACTTTTCTTTCAGTTTTGCGGCAAGTGAGGTACTGGGTGAAAGGAGAGAAGCCTTCATCTCCATAGATTCATGAGAGGGGCATTGTGTGTCTTCTAGCAGAAAACAAACTGGTGGTGTATGAAACATTTTATATTTCTTACTGGTTTTTCTATACTGTATGTGTATGAATAATTTCCCAACGTATACCTAGAAAAGCCTTTGACCTAATATTAGTCTAGAAAAAAAAATATATATATGTGTGTGTTTATGTGTGTATGAAAACTTAAGAACATTGACAATAACATGCTCTTTTCTGTTTTTTTCATACAAACTGCCAAATTATACAAAATATGACAAAAATTTCTTAGAATTTTGAAGCCATGTATATTTCATTCATGTATTTTATATTTCATTTGTAGAATTTATGATGTCTATTTATAATTATTAAGAAGTAACAGCTTATCCCAGGATAAATATTGCTCTTTTCTATTGTTATTTGAACCACAGGAATACACCACATTGTGCTTAGAATTCATTGCTTGAACCTCGAATTTATTGGATGGTAAAGTCATTCAATTCTAAATCAATAATGAGGATGTATCTTTGGTGTTTTATTCCATTATGAATTTCTATTTTATGTTTAGTAAAAAGCAATGAGAATTATTGTTAGAAAAGAATGCACACAGTAGAATTTGAGTGAGAAGCATATGCAGAGTAAATTTAATGTATGTCTACCATAAGCGGTACTGAGGAATATTAGATTTCATATGTGAATAGCTTAGGAAAAAATCCCTTCTCTAATAAAGGGATGAAATATCATGATCATGATCTGGATTGGTATCATCAGTTATGCATATGCAGTTAGAAACGTCATTTCTTCCGCTTTTGAATTAAAGAAAAGCTGTTTTTGAAGTTGAGATCTCATGCAAATTATTTTAGTATTCTTTCTAAAGCACTTTTAAGCCCCTGAATTGCTAATTATATCCTTACCTTCCATTTATGAAATTCCTTCTAAACTTCAGATAAGAGAACTCAAATCCTCTCTTTTTGAAAAATAAAATCAATGTAAATATAATATATAAATTGTGGAAAATATTTCAGTCAAACTTTTTGTAAATGTTAAAAAAGTATCTATGAAATCTGTGTATTAATTATGAGATGAGCCTTAACGTTGTAATTTTGTCATCAATGATGAAATGAAAGGGTGTTGACATATTCTTTAATAGGAAGTTCTATTATAAGAAAGAAATGTACAGTCTTGTTCACAGCTAAATTCTACTTGACTGTATTAATTCTTGGTGTTATGAAATTTAAACAATGTGATTTAAACCTTAAGATGAATCATCCCCCCACCTGATTTGTGTATTTTTTTAATCATATATCTTCCTCAGTACAATGTAAGGACTGTAAAAAAAGAGATAATGTCTGTCTTGCTTTCTGTTGACTCCCAGGAACTCGAAACCAGCACCAAGAATAGATGGTCAAAAATGATACTTTAATGAACAAATAAATGGGTGGCTAAAATGGATAAGTTGATGTGGTAAACCAGTGAAAAGGAAACTCACACAAAATCTGCAGTTGCATGAATTCCCCTGTTCCAGTCTCAGGTTAAGATTACAGGCTTATCCAAGCAGAATCCTTCTCCTAAGGAAAAGTTTGGCTATTCCACAATTTTAGGGGAAATATGACAATAATATAGTCTTGATGCAGCTGTATCAGGTGTCTGAGTTGGAGACAAGGTAGAACACCAAAATTAGATGGCACCTATTATAATAGTTTGAAAAATCATATAAACAACTTTGGTCTATTTGAATATGTATTTTTTTCTATTGTCAATTATTTGTATTATGATATTTTCTAGTTGATTATTTAAACAAAAATGACATTTCATTTCAAAAAATTGAGTTAGTAACCAGCTACTTTACCAAAATGTTTTTAATGTAATACCTGTTATTGAAGTGCTACCATTTATTTAGAAGTCAAGTTCAAGACAAAAATGGCAAGGACGTGTGGAAATTGAGACCGGAACAAATGTGAAACAATGTGTGGTGATGTCTGGTATGACCCTGATGGCAGCCACTTCACAGTGAGGTGAGAGAGACAGCATGATGGTCATCAGATGCATGTACTTGGCTTCCAGCACTTTTCCAGAAGGGCTACAAGGGGAAACCACAGCTGGCATTAGTCCATGGAAGAGAGAGAGGAGGGAGAATGTATCTGCTCATCTGTCATTAGTCTTCTATTTCCTATTGGTCAGGGTTTCCTTGAGGCAGAACTATCATCTCTGCTGTTCTGTCTTACATCATCCAGTCCCTTGGTGGTGGTCATGAAAGTCAGACCTCATGCCCACAGTGTGGTGATGCATTCAAGTCCCAAATAGAAGGATGACCTGGATCAGGCAAGGTGCTGGCCAGGGGAATTGGACATAGTGAAGAGAATCTGAGAAAGCACATGTTTGTGTCCAGTACCGCCACTCCTTGTGCCACTGAGGCGTGCTCATACCCTCCAGTCATGGCTGGCTTTATGAGCATATGACGTCCACAGTTGCATAGGGTTTTGTGCTTATAGGGACTTGTGCTTAGAGGGACTCTATGCTTGGATTAATATTCTGCACTTGCTATTTTGTTTGTCAGACAGAGGATACTTGTCTGCTGAAGAGAGAATGGTCTTACACTAATTCCATAGGGATTTGCTCTCCCCTCTCCAACAGGCTTGTCAGAGACATGCACAGAGTCCTATAATGACCACTATGTATGTTCTAGCATCTTTGAATCCTGCTGGATCATCTGGCTCAGTGGCCAGAGCAGCTTGGAGCAGAGTCTATATCTTCTGTAGAGCCCTCATTTGTTCTGGATTCCACTTGAGACCAGCAGCCTGGGAAACTTCATTAATGAGTCAGAGCAATATTCTCAAATGTGGAATATGTTGTCTCCAAAATCCCAATAGGCCCCCAAAACATTGTGTCTCTTTTGTAGTGATAGGAAATTTATAGAGAGAGCAACATGCCATATACTGTAAAAAAGATTGTTTCAACGTGTGGTCTAGGGACACTGAATGCTTTAAAACATCACCTATGCTGTAGGTCCCTGAATCTTCTCAGGTTGATTTCTTTTCTTCTGGTATTTTACTTCCATTCATCGTTAGAGTATTTTACTATAGTTAAGAAACTTGCCACTTCCTGATTATTGTACCAAGTAATATATTATTATTATTATTGCTATTATTTTGAGACAGGGTCTCATTCTGTCCCTGAGGCTGGAGTTCAGTGGCAGGATCACAGCTCATTACAGCCTCAACCTTCTGGGCTCAAGTGATTCCCCCACCTCTGCATTGCTAGCAGCTGGGACTGCAGGGGCACAACATCACGCCTGGCTAATTTTTGTATTTTCTGTAGGGCTAGGATTTCACAGTGTTACCCAGGCTGGTCTCAAAATCCTGGGCTCAAATGATCTTCCCGTGTCGGCCTCCTAAAATGATGGGATTACAGTCATGTGCCACAGGGCCTGGTCTGTAATATTATTAATATATTAAATAATCACGATGTTTTAAAAAATGTAAATTAAACAGAAGTGACATAGCCGTGATATAAAACAGTGACACAGTGTTATTATTATGATACAAGGCAAATTGTTTTGATTTTTCCTCATAATGGGTGTAGATTAAGAACCATTCAGCAAATCACAAGCCCAGTAAAAAGTACCAGAAGCTCTGCTCTGCTTAGTGAAGACAGCACATCCTGGAAAGCATTTGTGAGTGTTGATTTAAGTTTCTGGTAGTCTGCATTCATTCTATAACCCGTCTGGTTTTGATAGAGGCCAGATAGGTTTAGTGAATCGGCTTATAGAAAGGACTACCATCCCCTGTAACTTTCAAGTGTTTTGTCACGGCACTGACCAGTTCCATTCCTTAGGGAATGCGGTTATTATATTTTATATATTTTGTTGCCAGTAGAGGAGAATTTCAGAGGCTTCCCTTTGGTCCTGCTATAATAATGTCCTTTACTCTACAGTTCACGAAGAATGTGAGTCCTGCCGGCTGCCATACATATCTATTTCAATTATACTTTCAGGAAGAGGTAGTAACTACAAACTGATTAGCTCCACCTTGGAATGGACATGAGCCGAAGCTCTAGGTAGTATCTGACCTTCAAAAACTCCCCCTGCAGGCTGGATGTGATGGCTCATGCCTGCAGTCCTAGCACTTTGGGAGGCGAAGGTGGGAGGATCCCTTGAGAGCAGGAGTTCCCTTCACAACATGTGGAAACTCCGTCTGTACAAAAAATTTAAAAAATTAGCTGGTGTGTTGGTGCATGCCTATAGTTCCAAATACTTGGGAAGCTGAGGCAGGAGGATTGCTTGAGCGCAGGAGTTCCAGGCTGCAGTGGACTATGATCCTGCCACTGTACTCCAGCTTGGGTAACAGAGGGAGACTGTGTCTCAGAAGAAGAAAAAAAAACAAGTATAAGTTCTCACCGGTATCTTAAACATCAAGTAAAACAGTATCGAGTAAAACAAAAAACTAAAAACTCCAAAAGTCAAAAACACTTTTAAAAAGAACATGGTGTTAAGAGTAGTTTGTTCAGTTTCCCCATAGAAAATGATTTATGGAAGGAGAATAAAAGATTATTCTGAACACTAAAACAATAAGACTGAAAAAATGAATTATCAATATTGAGAATCCAATAGACAGAGTTAACCAGTTGGATACAGTACAAGAGAGAATAAGTGAATTGGAAGATAGCTACACAGAATGAAGCATAGAAGGGAAGAGATGGAAATACACAGAGCTAGAGGGTAACACATTGATGCTACAGACAGAACACCTAACATACTTCTGGAGTTCTGTAAGATTAGAGGAGAGAAAATAGAGCAAGAGAAATGTTGCAAGGATTTTTCCAAAAGGTATAAAATGTATCCCTGAATATATTTTTAGTAATCTCAAACTTCAGGCATGATAACTAAAACCAAATTAACATAAAATAATACAGGACGCAAAAGACCAATAGAAAATCTGAAAAGTAGCTAGAGGTAGAAGATAGAGTATGTTGAAAAGAACTGTATTCTAAATACAACCTGATTTTAACAGAAAACATGGAAGCAGGAATTCAATGGATTAATGGGAATCATGTCTTCAATGTGTTTCCAAAGAGTAGTAGACCTTCATAAACAGAAATTGAAAATGATATTTTTCAGATAAAATAAAATTACTGAAAATACAAAGTTGAACACGCAAGGAGCATTACAAATTAATGACAATCCATGCTGGCTAACACGGTGAAACCCCGTCTCTACTAAAAATAAAAAAAAATTAGCCTGGCGTGGTGGCGGGCACCTGCAGTCCCAGCTACTCCGGAGGCTGAGGCAGGAGAATGGCTAAACCCGGAAGGCGGAGCTTTCAGTGAGCAGAGATCGTGCCACTGCACTCCAGCCTGGGTGACAGGGAGACTATGTCTCAAAAAAAAAAAAAAAAATTAATGACAATGAAAACTAAGTGTGTAATTCTAAATAAATGTTGACTATATAAAACAATAGTGTCTTCTTGGATTGAATGTATAATTGATAAGATATATGCAAATAGCAATAAAGAGGCTGGAGATAAAGGTAACAGGAATAAATTTAGTCAAACTGTGTTTTGGGCTTTTCTATGTCTGTGAGAAGAATTTGAACATCATAATCAAGGACCCTGTAATTCTACACCCAGATATATATACACAGAGGAATTGTAGCAAATGATATGTGAAAGAATGTTCATTGTAGCATTATTCATAAAAGCTCAAAAAATAAGCTGTCCAAATATATATCAAATAAGGATGGATAAATAATTACAGTAAAATCAAAAAATGAAAAAAATATAGAGAAGTGAAAAGATATGGATCACATGTACATGCAATGATGGGGTTAAATTTTGGATACAAAATGTTGATTCCAGGAAGCCATGAATAAGAACATATAGGATTGCACCTATACATAGATCAAATCAGGCCAAACCAAGCTATTGAGTTTAGGGTCGAATACCTTATTGGTAAAGTATAAAGAATATTAAAAAAAGACCATCATAAATTAGGGATGTTGCTTATCACAGGAGACATGAAGAAAGGTGTAGGGAATTAGAAAGTGGCATTGAGGTAAACTTAGGCTCTTAGCAATGTTCCATGTCTTGCCCTACATGATGGTTACATGAGTGTTTATGACACATTGCTATGTTTTCCATTTTTGTTTTGGTTCATTTCTAAGTGTGCAGTCTAGCTATATGATAAAAATTATTAATTAGGAGAAATGGTCCATGAAAATTATTATTACTCTGCTCATTATATACTGAAGGGAAAAATCCACTATTTGTATACATTCATGTGTAACTCTAAGAGATTTTAAGTAGAAACTTTCTGATTTTAGTTGCAACTTTAGGAAACTTGACATGATGTTACCTGCCAACCACAGATTTCTGAATAGGTTTTTCTTTTAGGTTTAATTACCCACTTCATATGACAAAACTTGGACATTCTCTATTTTTTCCTTCGATCCTGAATTCCTGACACAACAATGGTGGGCATATTTCCCACACTCCTGATTTAGCAGAATACCTACATCACTTATGTTTTTCTGCAAGAGAAAACTGAGTTAGATAATTGTGTATCATTATGTCTTTGGATTACATTTTTCTAACCTAGGTTTGGTGGATGGCTCTGGTGATTGGAGATGGGCCACGTACTGCATCTTGCCGCTAGTTTGGCTGATTTAGGGTAGATAAGGCAGTGGCATTCTGACTCCATTAGTTTCTCTTTCTTCTTCTGGGAACAGTGTGCTAGCCAGATGATGTCCTCATGGTTAGTGGAAAAGAGCAGGAAACTTCAATATGGAAGCCATCTTAAATCTCTGTAAATTCTACTAATTTCCTGTTGACTGAAGCAAATTACGTGAGTGAATTCAGAGTCCAAGGTCAAGGTAGTCACCCTGCCTGAGGTGGGAGGGTACTGCAGGATTATGTGACAAAGAGTAGGGTACTTAGAAATATTTACAAAATTGCTGAACATTTTAATTAAATAATTAATGTTTAAACAAAACAGACTTGAGTGTAAATATACCAAAGGCCTAAGCTTGAGAAACATGTTTGATAAATATTATTCATTGTCTGACAGCCCTGAGTTGGAAAATAAGACTAATACCACCTGGATGAGTTCCTGGAAACTCATTTTCCATTTGGGGAATTATAAGAAAATAATTCCTTCCATGCCCTAAGGGTGTGAGTGCATGTGTGTCTATGTGTTTAGGAGCTTATTAACAATGATGTCATATCAATTTATTGGTTATCAGAAACCAGATTTTAAAGTGTATCAGCCTCCCAGGGATTTCCAAGATAATCTTGGATGATTTTGATAAAAGGTTTAGAATCTGGTATTTAAATCTGGCATAAAAATAAGTCCATATTGGTATGATCCTAGTTATGACCAAGCTCCTTTAACAATTTAGACATTTACTATATGATATATGTATTGGGTTTTACAATTTCCCTATGGAACAACTGAAGATGCTGTATACAAATTATGGAGAGGTTAAACAAGGAAAAAAATTGCAAAACAATGAAAAATAATATGCCTTTCTTTGCATACTAACACATGAGAATTCATTTTCCACTTCAACCTCAGTATAAAAAAGTACAGCATATAGCAAGGAGAGAATGTATATGAAGAGGAGTGAATTTGAGCTGTTTTGAGAATAATGACCTTTTCTATTTCTATAAAGACAGTTTTGAATTCATCTATTAGCATATGCTGGTGCTTGCCTGTTGACACTAGTCACTGAATTTAAAGGCAGAAAATGTTATTGCACATTTAGTAATCAAGTGTTCATCGAAGTTAACATCTGGATGTTAAAGGACTCAGAACAAGTGTTACTAAGCCTGCATTTTTTTATCTGTTCAAACATGATGTGTTTTCTGCTCATCATTTCATCAATTCTGGTAGTGTTTGCATTTGTTCTTGGAAATGTTGCCAATGGCTTCATAGCCCTAGTAAATGTCATTGACTGGGTTAACACACGAAAGATCTCCTCAGCTGAGCAAATTCTCACTGCTCTGGTGGTCTCCAGAATTGGTTTACTCTGGGTCATGTTATTCCTTTGGTATGCAACTGTGTTTAATTCTGCTTTATATGGTTTAGAAGTAAGAATTGTTGCTTCTAATGCCTGGGCTGTAACGAACCATTTCAGCATGTGGCTTGCTGCTAGCCTCAGCATATTTTGTTTGCTCAAGATTGCCAATTTCTCCAACCTTATTTCTCTCCACCTAAAGAAGAGAATTAAGAGTGTTGTTCTGGTGATACTGTTGGGGCCCTTGGTATTTCTGATTTGTAATCTTGCTGTGATAACCATGGATGAGAGAGTGTGGACAAAAGAATATGAAGGAAATGTGACTTGGAAGATCAAATTGAGGAATGCAATACACCTTTCAAGCTTGACTGTAACTACTCTAGCAAACCTCATACCCTTTACTCTGAGCCTAATATGTTTTCTGCTGTTAATCTGTTCTCTTTGTAAACATCTCAAGAAGATGCGGCTCCATAGCAAAGGATCTCAAGATCCCAGCACCAAGGTCCATATAAAAGCTTTGCAAACTGTGACCTCCTTCCTCATGTTATTTGCCATTTACTTTCTGTGTATAATCACATCAACTTGGAATCTTAGGACACAGCAGAGCAAACTTGTACTCCTGCTTTGCCAAACTGTTGCAATCATGTATCCTTCATTCCACTCATTCATCCTGATTATGGGAAGTAGGAAGCTAAAACAGACCTTTCTTTCAGTTTTGTGGCAGATGACACGCTGAGTGAAAGAAGAGAAACCCTCAACTCCATAGATTCACAAGGGGAGCATCGTGGGTCTTCTAGCAGAAAACAAACTGATGGTGTCTGGAACATTTTATATTTCTATCAGTTTTTCCATAGTGTTTGTATGTGAGTAATTTCAAAACAGATACCTAGAAAAGTCATATATATATTTATGGGTGTATATGTGTGCATGTGTGTGAATAACAACGTTGACCATAAATTATGAAGCTGAGTATATTTCACATATATAGTATTTATATTTTATTATAGTTCATTGTATAGTATTTCATTTGAAGAATTTATTATCTCTCTTTATAATTAAGAACGTACAGCTTTTATGAAGAAATCATTTCTCTTTTCCATTGTAATTTGTACCACATATATGTGCTTAACTATCATTGGTGAACCTCTAATTTTTTGGATGGTAAAGACATTCAATTTTAAATCAATGATAAGAATGGATCTTTGGGGTAGGTTTTATTTCATTATGAATTCTTATTTTATGCTTAGTAGAAAGCAAATAGAATTGTTGTTAGTTAATGATGCACACAATAAAATTGGAGTGAAAAACATATGTAGAGTAAATTTTGTATATGTATACCAAAACAGTACTAAAGAATACTAGATTTAATACCAGTATGTGAATAGCCTAGAATAAAAATCATTTCTATAATAGGAATGAAGAAACATGCTGATGATCATTTCAGTGCTGTTATAATTTTTTTATCTGTAGTTAGAAAAGTCATTGCTTCCACTTTTTGAATTAAAGGAAACCTTTTGTGAAGTTGACATCTGATGTCAAGTATTTCCATTTGTTTTTCTTAGCCACCTTGAGCCCCTGAATTTCCAATTTTCTCCTTTGTCTCCCATTCCTAATATTCCTCAAAAAAACTCAAATATTCTCTATCTTAAAAAAACAGGCCAATCAAAGGAGGGTATAGAAACTATAGAAGATAATCAAATGAAACTTTCCTCAAATGTTAAAAATTATGTAAAAATTACATAAAAATCTGTGAAATCTATATAATTGATAGGAAATGTATTAATGATATGTATTATTATAATGGTGTAAATGGTGAAATTACACAGTGTGTTGATGTATCCATTGATACCAAGTTCTATTATAAGAAGGAAATGTACAGCCTTGTTGAAGAGCTAAATTCTGTGTGACTGTGTTAATTCTTGGTGTTATGAAATTTTAACATTATTATGTAGAACTTAAAATAAGTTAACTCCACATCATATATATATCTATGTATCTATATCTATATCTATAGACATATATATATATATATATATATATATATCGCTTATCATACGTCCTCCCTAGTACAATGTAATCACCATAAAAAGAGAGGTCATATCTGTCTCGCTTTCTCTTGACTCACAGGACCTAAAAGCCAGCACAAAGAATAGTTGGTCAAAAATGATATGTTAATGAACACATAAGTGATTGGATAAATGGATAATTTGATGTGGTAAATCAGTGAAAATGAAGCTCATCATAAAATCTGCAGTTGCTTGAATTTTCTATTTTCAGGTTGAGGTTATAGGCTTTTTGAAGAAGAAGCATTTCTCAGAGCAAAAGTTTGGCTAGTCCACAATTCTAGGGGAAATATCACTGTAATATAGCTTTGATGCAGCTATATCAGGTGTGTGAAGTAGAGACAAGGTGGAACGTCAAAATTAGATGGCACTTATTCTAATGCTTTTTGAAAAGCATATTAAAGATTTTGGTATATTTGCACAGGGTCAGGGTCACCTGTGAGTGCCAGCTGCTCGGGGCTAGCAGACCCCATGACAAGAATGTTAGGGAACTTCCCAGCAGCTGCCAAACACACTTTTGTTTTTAGGGAACGTCTCTTTCTCCTTCAGTATGACTTATGCTGCCTTCAATGCTTTGCTGATACAAAAGAAGTAAACTCAAAAGAAGTAAAAATAAAAGCTAGCAAACTTTGCAACTGATTAAGTTGGTTGGAAATGTACCTAATCACTTTCTACTATGAATGATATATTTGTATTATGATATTTTCTAGCTGGTTATCATATACACAAAAAGGCATTTCATTTTTAAAAATTGAGTTTGTAACCAGTCACCTTTCTTACACATTATTTGTATATTTTTTTAGTATCCTTTCTAAATGAATGTTTTAATTGCCATGTTATAAACGCATGGAAAAGTGATGCAACTGAATGTATATCTTAGCTTTTGGTGTCTAAAACTAGAGCCAATGTCTGAGTTTACAGTGATGACATTTATTTGGGAAGGCAAGTCCAGGGCAGCAATGAGGGGTAAATGTGGAAACTGAGGCAAAAGAAGATGTAAAACCATGTGTCGTGATGTTGATATGATTTTGCTGGTGGCCACTTCACAATTAGTGAGACAGACAGCATGGTGGTCATCAGATGCATGCACTTGGCTCTCCATACTTTTCCAGAAGGGTTACAAGGGGAAGCCACAACAAATATTAGTCCGTGGAAGAGAGAAAAGGGAGAATGTATCCTAGCTGTCTTCTGTCTTCTATTTCCCTTTGGCCAAAGTTTGTTTGAGGCAGAACTACCATCTTTGCTTTTCTTCCTTACATTATCCAACCCCTTGGTGGCTGTTTGGGAAAGTCACACTAACCAATACCCCCATTTTTCTAAGAGATAGTTTTTTTTTAATTTATTTTTTCTCTTTTCCTCTCCCCTTTCCCTATGTTTCCCCGCTTTCTACTTAACTTTTTAGACATGCACATAGAACTGTTTACTTTCCCCCCACCAGACAGTCCCTTCGGGCGAGTTCATCTAACTATGTGCTCCACGAGGGATCTCTCCTTGAGACTTGACAGTTGATTTGCAGACAAAAGTATGCCCTCATGGAACTCTCACCTCCAGGGGTTCCCCTTAGACCTCACATCCATTAGGAGGGGATGTGGAAAGGATGCCCACGTGGCCACTTTTACAACTGCTGTCCTGCTCATTTCCTTCCCTACTTTATAAAACGTTCACTTTCTGCTCCAAAGATGAAGTGTCACGTTGGAAGGCAGGATGCTTTGTGCCCCTTCCAGCAAGCTAACTTCCAAATAAATTCTCTATTTTTATATCAGACCTTGTTCTTGTTAATTAGACTTTACATGAAGTGAGCAACTAAGCTTTTCTGTTACAAGACTTCATGCCCACAGATACATTCAAGTCCCAGGTGGAAGGATGATCTAGATCAGGCAAGGTGCTGACCATGGGAACAGGAGACAGTCAAGGGAATCTGAGGAAGCACATGTTTGTGTCCAATATAGTCCCCTCCTTGTGCCACTCAGATGTGCTCATGCCCTCCAACTGTGGCTGGTTTTATAAGCAGATGCCTTGTGTAGTTGCACGGGGTCTTGTGCTTGAGGGGCTTTTTGCTTGGATTAATGTTCTGCACTTGCATTTTTATTTTTCAGACAGCGGATAATCCTCCACTGAAGAGGGAATAGTTCTGCAGTAATTCCCTAGGGGTTTGCTTTCTCCTCTCCTACGGGCTTGATGGAGACAGGCACAGAGTCCTATGATGCCCACGTTGCATGCCTCTAGCAGCTTTGAATTCTGCTGGATCATCTGGCACAATGGGCCGAGCAGGTTGGGCCAGACCCTGTATCTGCTGTAGAGATATTATATGTTCTGGATTCCACTTGAAACCAGGAGTCTTTGCATTCATTCTGTAACCCATCTGGTTTTGGCAGAGGCTAGGTAGGTTAACTGAACAGGGATTTAAAAAGGACTTTATTAACACATCAGAGCAATATCCTCTACTGTGGTATTTTTGGACTCCAAAATCCCTAGAGGCTCAATAAACGCCGTGCTTCTCTTTTAGTGATAGGAAGTATATAGGAAGCCATTTACCTTAAACAGGATGTTTCTGCTCGGCATGGTGGTTCACGCCTGTAATACCAGCACTTTGGGAGACCAACGCAGGCAGATCACTGGAGGCCAGGAGTTTGAGACTAGCCTGAGCAACATGGTGAAACCCCATCTCTACTTAAAAAAAAATACAAAAAAATTTAGCCAGGCATGGTGGCCAATGCCCGTAAACCCAGCTACTCAGGAGGCTGAAGGATTTGAATTGATTGAACCCAGGAGGCGAAGTTTGCAGTGAGCCGGGATTGCAACACTGCATTCCGGCCTGGGCAACAGAGCGAGACTCTATCTCAAATATAAATAAATAAATTAATTAATTGATTTTTCAACATGTGGACCAGGAATATGGGACCCCTGAAAACAATATCTGCGTTGGTGTTCTCTAAATATTTTCAGGCATGTCTCTTTCTTCTGATATTTTATTTCTATTTAATGTTTAAGTATTTTACTATAATTAGGTAACTTTCCATTTCCTGGTTATTGTACCAATTACCGTAACATTATTAATATATTAAATTAACATGATGTTTTCCAAAATGTAAATTAAACTGAGAGCAGAAGTGACAAAGCCCTGACATAAAACAGTGAAGCAGTGCTCTTGTTTTTACCACACAAAGGCCAATTGTTTTAATCTGCTGACCCACCCATGGGTGTAAAATAAGAAACATTCACTAAATCAAGAGCCACATGCAAACTGCCAGGAGCTCTGCTCTGCTCAGGGAAGATACCACATCCTAGAGAGCATTTGTAAGTAGTGATTTAAATTTATGGAAATCTGCATTCATTTTATAGTGTATCTGGTTTTGGTAGAGGCCAGATAGGTTAAGTGGATAGGCATATAAAAAGACTACCATCCCCTGCAACTTTCAAGTGTTTTGTCATGGTAGTGATCAATTCCATTCCTTGGAGAATGTGATTATTATTTTTCAATCATTGTTGCCAGTGGAGGAGAATTTCACAGGCTTCCCCTTGGTTCTGCTCTAATAATGTCCCTGACTCTACAGGTCAGGAAGAAAGTGAGAGTCCTGCCAGCTGCCATGTGTGTCCATTACACATTCAAGAAGAGGCAATAACGGCAAACTGATTAGATCCACCTTGGGATGGACATGAGTCAAAACTCTAGGTAGCATCTGACCTTCAAAACTCCCTCTGCAGGCTGGGTATGATGGCTCATGCCCGCAGTCCCCGCACTTTTGGAGGCGGAGGTGGGAATATCTCTTGAGGCCCAGAGTTGCAGACCACCTTGGGCTACACAGTGACAGCCTGTCTGTACAAAAACTAAAAAACAGAAAAAACAACAACAAAAAATTAGTTTGGCATGGTGGTACTCACCTGTAGTCCCAGTTACCCAGAAAGATGAGACAGGAGACTCCTTTGGACCTATAACCAATATGCGAGTCCGTTGCTGGCCGCATGCAGTGTCCAGTTAACAAAAGTGAGGTCTGGTACAAAAGTAATGAATTTATTCCAAACCTAGCTTGGGGAAGGAGCACAAAGTGTCTTGCCTTTAAGTGTACCACTTCACCTTTGGAGCAGAAAGCAGACACTTTTATAAGGTAAGGAGGGATACTGAGCAAGGGTAGAGGGTCCTCATGCAGGCTTGGTGCCTTATCTATCAGACAGTTGAATTGGTGCCTTCCTGTGCAGAAGTAACTTGTAAAAGTGGCCAAGTGGGTATGCTTTCAATATGCCCTTCTGTTGGGTGAAAGTCCTCAGGCAACTCCCAGAGTGGAGCACAGTCTGGAAGTTCCAAGTCCATTTCCTGGAGGTAAACATTCCTTGGTGGGTGTGCTTTGGTCTGCAAATTGACTGTCAATTCTCAGAAGAGATCTGTCTTGCTGCACATAGTTAGAAGAACGTGCCCTGCAGGGAATGTCTAGTGAGTGGGGGTGAAAGGTTATATTTGCATTTATGAAGGGCTAAGCAGGAAACAGGGAACAAAAGGAAAGGGGAGATAAGAGAAAATAATAATAAAAAAATAGTAACTCATTCCCTGTTTCTTAGAAAAAATGGGGCACTCTGTTACAAACCCAGGAATTCAAGGCTGTAGTGAGTTATGATTTGCCACTGTACTACATACCTCCTAAGTGAAGGATTGAGACTGTGTATCTAAAAAACCCAAATGCAAATAACACACACACAAAAAGAAAATTTTAAAAAATCTCCCACTTCATCTCATGGACTGCAGTGTCTTTTGAGTACCCAGATATTACTGTTAGTTCAGGCTCTGTTGGAGTGGCCAATATCTGGTTTACTGGAGGCAATTTGGTACGAGTCTGCAGCAACTTCAAGTCTAACCTCCTCAGAAGAAAGAATTCAACTGAGGGGCATAAGGCGGAAAAAGAGACTGAGGGAAGTTTCTGAGCAGCAATGGAAGTTTATTAAAAAGATTTAGAGCAGGAAAGAAAGGAAAGTACACTTGGAAGAGACCACAGTGGGCATTTTGGAGGTCAAGTGCAGTGTTAGACCTTTGACTTGTGGTTTTATATGTTGGTATACTTCTGGGGTCTTGTGTTCCTTTTCCCACGATTCTTCCCTTAGGGTCTTGTGTTCCTTTTCCCATGATTCAGCCCCTTAGGGTGGGCTGCTCACATGTGTGGTGGCCTGCTAACACTTTGGAGGTGAGCATGCGCAGTGTGTTTACTGGAGTTGTACACATGCTTGCATGAGGCATTCTTCCCTTTTTTGGTGGAATGCCCCCAGAAGGTTGTTTTCTACCCTTTTCTCTCTTAACACGTATGCCTCAGCCTACTCGCCCTATTCCTGAGCTGCTGACTAGCAA
This sequence comes from Homo sapiens, assembly GCF_000001405.40. NCBI lineage: Eukaryota > Metazoa > Chordata > Mammalia > Primates > Hominidae > Homo > Homo sapiens. Next base: position 213,718 of record NW_003571050.1, on the reverse strand, counting down.
TTTTAAGCATCTTTACTTATTGTGAAATTGCCTCTCCCTGGTGCCTGTGAGCAATTATCATTTTTAGAGAGGCAGTGTGACAACTGCCAGGCCATCACCTGATGGCCACCTGACATTCCTGGTGGGTGGTGAGAGCCTTCTTCTGCCCCGCTCATGCCTGACTAACTATCTACTGTAAGAGCCCTATACCTAAAAGTCTCAGATGGTGTGGATGTGTGTCCTTTCCTCTGGGTACTGTTATCTGGGAAATGGCTACAGGTCTTTGAGAAAGCACCGTATGAATACGTCCTGAATATTCTTGTGGTGAATTTTCAGCATCCTTTTCAAGGGGACTTACACTTTCCTTCAATTATTGAATTCTTGTTCTCGGAATTGGCTCAGTCCTGACAACAGGTTGAGGTTCTTTGATTTTCCACTTCAAAGGCTGACCTCAGGAATCAGTTTTTCAGCCTTTGAAGTGAAAAGGCTTGCTCTTGGTTTATAAGTATTTTTCAAAGTATGAAGCCTCTTTAACTATTGGCTTATGAACTCATTCCAAGAAGCTGATGCTGTCATCAGTTCATTGATTCTGACATTTGCAAGATCACCAGAGAGTCTATGTTCCCAAGGTTAGTCATCATGTTGCATGCTCTATTAGCTGCATTGAACTTAGTTTATTTAGATTTCAGGATGCTGCCCTCTCCTGATTTTATCCTTATCCACTGGGCACTACTTCTCAATCTCCTTTGCTAGTTCTCTTTTGTCTCTAAACTGAAAATATCAGACTGCCCAAGGTCTCAATTCTTCAATCTCTACAATGATGCCTGTTGTGTTGGTGATCTCATGTAATCTCTTTACTGACAATGTAGCCAAGTGATTCAACAGACAGGAATAAGGCTGATTATCCATTTATATTATTTATTTATTCACGCATGTTGGCATATAGCACATTATGTAAATATTTTTCCTTCAAATGTCAAATGTACATTTTGAAGTAACAGTACCAGGGTGGATGCTGTGGCTTAAGCCTGTAATTGAGCACCTTGGGAGGCTTAGGCAGGCAGATTTCTTGAGCCCAATTATTGGAGACCAACCTGGGAAACATGGTGAAACCCAGTCTCTAGTAAAAATACAACAATTAGCCAGGTATAGTGGTGTCCACCTGTAGTCCTAGCTACTTGGGAGGCCAAGGTGGGAAACAGATTGAGGCTGGGAGCTATAGATTGCAGTTAGCCAATCTCAAACCACTGCACTCCAGTTTAGGCTCCAGAGTGAGACCATGTCTCAAAAAATAAAAATCTAGGGAGAATCAATAATATTTTTGCTTGAATTTCCACTAAATGAGATTGAGGGTAGCCCAGCATCTAATTTAGTTTTATTTAAAATAGTAATTTTAATATCAATAGATTGATAGGCAGGGGATTATTATTATTATAGACATAATGATCTAAGTAGAGAAATACACAGATAGAATTATGGTTGATTAACCCACTTGTATTACTTGCAATTGTACAGTTAGTATGTTTTAGTATCTTAGTTACTAATCTCACTTTTTACATTTAGCTCTATAATCAATTAAATATGAGTTATTTTTTGTGTATGGTGTGAAATAAGAATAGAAATTTATCTTTATGCATGTGGATATTCAATGTTCTCAGTATCATTTGTTGAAAAAATGATTAATTCCTATTGAACTGCAGTGGTACCATTTTTGAAATCAATTACCATCAATGTCAGTGTTAATTTCTGGACTCTCAGTTGTGTTTCATTGTTCTTTTGTCTACTGTAATGCCAGTACCACAGAATTCTGATTAGTGCAGCTTTGTAGTTAGCTTTGAAACCAGAAAGTGTAATCCTCCAAATGTGTTATTTTATCAAGATTTATTTTGGTGATCTGGTCACTGGGTATTTTCAGATATATTTTAGGACTGGTTTTTCACTTTTTGCAAAACAGGCTTGTTGGGATTTGATAGGGATTGCACTGAGTATATAAGTTGACCCTTCACCTGCAAAGACTCTCCTTGTGCTGGATTTCAGTTCAGCTGGCCCTCCTTGCTTGTACAACTCTGTGATGAATTGAATATATAATTTTTGCCTTTTATTACTCTTATCCTAGTTGTTGCAGAAGGATATCTTGCCTTTCTGAACCTTCTGTATTCTGCTCAAAAATGGAAGTTCTCAGCTAGGTGCAGTTCACGCCTGTATCCAAGCATTTTGGGAGACCAAGGTGGGAAGATCGTATGAGCCCATGTTTTCAAGACCATACTGGGCAACATAGGGAGACCCCATTTCTACAAAAAAACTGAAAAATTAGCTGGCTGTGTTGGTGCACGCCCATAGTCACAGCTACTCCAGAAGCTGAGGTGGGAGGATCTCTTGAGCCCAGGAGTACAAAGCTGTAGTGAACTACCACTGCACTCCAGCCTAGGCGACAGAGCAACATCCTTTCTCAAAACAAAAAAGGAAAAGTGGAAGTTTTCACTGGTATCTTTTAAGTATCAAGTAACACAGAATCGAAAGAATAACTAATAATCCTCGGTTCCTGCCTGCACTGAACATGTAAAATTGAAAGCAGTTATACATATACTATACTAGCACCTCATAAGGACTACCCAGAGTATTATTATCATCTGCGTTTTATACATAATTATACTGAGGTAGAGAGAATTCGTAAAATGGAGTCTCAGATCATAGCTATATAAAGCAGAAAATCTGGCTTCCTGTCCTGGCAGACTGACTCCAAGATCTTCTCCTAGAAACAATTATACTATAACAACTGGAAAGAAATAATATCCAATATTGAAGACCGATTTTTAACATCTATTCATCTTAAACCATTAAATAATAAAAAATACATTAGAGAAAAATAAAAGTGAAAATTCACATACAGAGAAGTGTAGGCTCTTCAATGGAATACACATGTTTTTTAAGTGCCCAAGGAATATTTACAAAATTGCTAAATATTTTAATTAAACAATTCATATTTAAATATTAACTAGACTCAAGAAAATGACTTACTCAAAAGCCTAAGCATGAGACACAAGTTTATAAATATTGAAAATGGGCTGAAAACATGATTGGGAAATTAGGGCTATTTCAACTTGGATGACCTGCCTGAAATTCATTTTCCATTTTGGAAATTACAGGACAATAATTCCTCCCATCCATGAGGAGCATGTATGTGTGTGGGCACATAAGTTTGTGTTAATGAGCTTGTTAAGAATAAAGTTATACAAAAGTATTAGTTAGCAGCAACCAGATTTTAAGGAATGTTGGCCTTCCTGGGCTTCCCAAGAAAACCTTGGAGTCTTTTAATAAGAAAACTTTGGATTCTGTCTACATAAATCTGACATTGAAAAAATAAATTCACAGTGGTCATGATTCTGGTTATGACCAAGTTCCATATGACAGTTTAGACATCCAATGTAGGAATTATGAGTTGGGTTTTAAAATTTCCATAACAACTGACATTGCTGAACACAAATTATGGAGAGGTTAAACAAGGAAAAATATTGCAAAACAATGAAGGAAAATATGTCTGTATTTGCATGCTAGCAAATGAGAATTCACCTTTCACTTCAACAACAGCATGAAAAATTTCATCTTATAGCCAGGACATAGTGTTTGAATAGAAATTTAATTGAGCTGTTTTGGGAATTATTGTGTTCTCCATAAAGACAGCCTCAAACTCATCCATTAGCACACCCTGGTGCTTTCCTGTTTGACACTGGTCAGAGAATGTAAAAGGAAAAAGAACATTACTGCACATTCAGAAATCAGGTGCACATAGAATTTAAGGTCAGGACCTTACAGAGAATCTTGTCCAGTGATAATACGCCTGCCTTAAAAAAATTCAGACATGGTAGGTTTATTACCAATCTTTTTTTGTGCTAGTAATGGTAGAATTTATTTTTTCCTGTGGACACCTACGTTAAACTTATAGACTACTTTTACATTTTAACATTTTTTTCCTTTGAGTTCTTTTAGGAGTTGTTAAACAATCCTGAAATTTCCCTTACAATATGCTACAAACTAATCATAATTTCTCAAATTCATTTGACATAATGATTGATTAAAGAAATATGTGTAGTATAATTACACCTGCTCATAACAAGAGTATTTGAAACTTCAAGAAAAAATAGAGAAATTAATAAAGAAATATGAATAAATATATGGAATATATAATTCATTCTTAATAAATGTGCATGAAATCAGTCATGTAATTAAAAAGCAACATAATTTTTTGAACTAAAAATACATTCTGAATTATAATAGAAAAATGTTTCTAAAATGTTAACTTTAATAATAGTGTATGTAAATATCAGTGTAAAATTTAATCTGATGTTACTAATTTTGGAAAGGATATGACACAATAGAAATTTTCATACACTACTCTTAGGATTATAAAGTACAATTACTTTGGCTGAATATGGCATTACCTGATTAAGGCGAAGTATTTTTTATTGTACCACACTTTAGAATGTGGTAAAATGAAACAATATCAAGTAAATCATTGGGAATATGTTGGTTTTAAGTTATTCTTGATGAAATATTACCTGAGGGTGTTTGTCTAGACCTGATACTGAGAATAATATAAGAATTATAAGGCCATGAAGAAAAATTAAAATAGTGTTCTCCCATTGCCCTGAATTCCAGCACTTAGGAAACATGATTGAAGTCACATTTACAGAATAAAATAGTCCCTTTTAGCTGACATCAACATCATCATCAATCATCTACACCTATCTCATTAAATGATTTATTTTTCATTGTACATGATTTTGATAATGTCTAAGACATTTTTAAAAGATTATCATTTTGGGAAATTTGCATTAGTAAAAGCAAAGCTCAAGTCAAGCTGAATACATTTAGATTTAGAAATTAAGTGAAGTTTAGTTTAAAATGCATTGCTTAAGCAAGTAATTGTAGATGACCTTAAACTAATCCATTGAAGGCTATAAGAAAGAGTTTGATTTTAGTGTAAATAAAATTCCTTAATTAGAAAGGCAATTAAACTGTTTCATGATCAAGCTCTTATTCCTAAAGAGAGGATTTTAGATTAAATAAATCAAACAGAAGTAAGCCCTCACATCTTCTCTATCTCGCTTGGGTAATGATGGAGTTCAAAGTCACAGAGCCCCATTTCTACAACATAAACAAAGTAAAAATTAGTTCATAAAATAGAATGATGTAGTTGTGGTTTAGGGACTATTTTTTATTTATTGGAATTGCATTTTGAGATCCAAAGCTGCTTATTGAATTTCCATATGAGGAGAGTTTGTGTGAGGACCCAGCAACAGACAAGCTGTTTTCCAGAAAAAGCTACTCACATCAAATTAATATCCGGTTTCTTTAAAATTGCAGGAACATGGCTAGACCAAGCTTTTATTCTATTATCTGACCAGAGTTGGGAATAGAAGAAAATTGTTACTATTTTCATGGCTAGAGTACTAACAACTCCAGAAAAATACAAGGCTGGAGGGTAAGAGACACTGACGCTATGGTCAGAATATCTAACATACTTCTGGAGTTCTGGAGGATTAGAGATGAGAAATGGGGCAAAAGCAATGTTTGGGAAATTTTTCCAAAAATGATGAAATGTATATATTTCCATCTCTATATATTTAGGAGCCATCAAATTTTGGACAAGATAACTAAAAAATTTAAAATAAAATGACACAGGACATCAAAGACCAATAGAAAATCTGAAAAGTAGCTAGAGGTGAAAGGTAGATTATGTTAAAAAGAGCCACATTCTAAATAACAAACTGATTTTCAACAGAAAATATGAAAGCGGGAATTCAATGGAATCATATCTTCAGTGTGTTTCCAAGGAACAGTAGACTTTTATAGACAGAAATTAAAAATGATATTTTTTCAGATAAAATATAAACTACCAAAAATACAAAATTGAGCATGCAAGAAGGAATAAAAATTAATGAAAATGATAAATATGTACATAATTATAAGTGAATGTTTACCATCTAAAATAATAGTATCTTCTTGTTGGACTAAAGGTGTAATTGATAAGATATATGCAAATAGTAATAAAGAGACTGGAGTTACAGAAATAAATTTAGTTAAAGTATTTTTTGGACTTTTCTATGTCTGTGGGCAGAATTTGTACATCTTAATCAAGGACCCTATAATTCTATACCTAGGCATATATGCAAAGGAATTGTAGCAAATGTATATGAAAGAATGCTCATAGTAGCATTATTCATAATAGTTCATAAAAGAAGCTGTCCAAGTATATATCAACTAAGGATAGATAATTATAGTAAATTCATAAAATTAAACAATATAGAGAAATGAAAAGAAATAAATCACATGTACATGCATCTGTCTGATTAAATTTCAGATTCATAATGTTAAGTCCAGGAAGCCATGAATAAGAACATATAGGATTGCACCTATACACAGTTCAAAGCAGGCCAAACCAAGCTATTGAGTTTAGGGTTGCATACCTTGTTGATAAAGTATAAAGAAAATCAAGGAAATGATCATCACAAATAATGGATATTGCTTACCTCAGGAGATATGAAGAAAGGTATAGAGGCTTGGAAAGTGTCATGGAGGTGGAACTAGGCTGTTTGCAGTGTTCCTTGTCTTGCCCTACATGATGGTTACTCGACTGTTTATGATACATTGCTCTATTTCCCAGTTTTCCAGTTTTGTTTTGGCACATTTCTATGTATGCATTATAATTTTAATATAAAAATTTTGAATTAGGAGAAATGTCTCATAGAAATTATTAATCTTCTCATTACGTACTAAGGGGAAAAGAAACTACTTATATGCATTCTTATACAACTCTAGAGAGTTGAAGTAGAAACTTTCTTATTTTAGTTACAACTTGTAGAAATTTGACATCATGTCACCTGCCAACCCCGTATTTTTCCGTAGCTTTATTTCAGTTTTTTTCTTTCAGCTTTAATTATGCACCTCACATGACAAAACTTTGATATTCCTCATCTATTTTTCCCTTGGCTTCAGGATTCTTGACACAACAAGGGTAGACATATTTCCCACTCTCTTGGCTTAGCAAAGTATTTCTATCATTTAGCATCATTTTAAAAAGAAACTTCTCCAAAACTACATTAGATATTTATATCTCACATGTCTTTAGATTCCATTTTCCTAAGCTGGGTTTGGGTGGATCACTCTGGTAATTTGAGATGGGCCATGTTCTGCATCTTGAAGTTAGAGTTTGGCCAATTTAGGCTACATCTGGAGGGGGTGATCTCATTCTCATTCTGCTTCTGGGAATGGTGTACTAGTGTGGGGATGTGCTTGTGGTAAATGGAGAAGAGCAAGAAACTCCAATGTGGAAGCCATCTCAAAGACGTATACAAAATTTACTAATTTCCAGTTCATCAAAGCAAATTACATGAGTGAGCTCAGATTCCAAGGTCAAGGTAGTCACCCTGCCTATGGCAGGAGGACACTGCAAGATAATATATCAAAGGATGAGGGAGTCAAGAGTATTTACAAAACAGCTGAATAGTTTAATTAAATAATTAATATTTAAACATTAAATAGACTTGAGAGTAACTTTACCAAAGGCCTAAGCATGAGAAATATGTTTGATAAATATTATTCTGGTCTGAAAACCCTGAGTGGGAAAACAGAACTAATTCCACCTGGATGACCTTCTGGAAACTCATTTTTTCATTTTTTTAAATTAAAAGAAAATAATTCCTTCCAACCCCAATGGGTTTAAGTGTGTGTTTTTGTGTTTATGAGCTTGTTAACAATAAAGTCATATAAAAGTATTGGTTAGCAGCAACCTGATTTTAAGGCGTATTGGCCTTCTTGTGGTTCCCAAGAAAACCTTGGATGATTTTGATAAAAGGTTTGGGTTCTGTATATTTAAATCTAGCATTAAAAAATAAATCCATATTTATACGATCCTAGGTATGACCAAGCTCTTTTAACAGTTTAGACATTTACTGTATGACATATGTATTGGGTTTTAAAATTTCCCTATGAAACAACTGAAAATGCTGAATACAAATTATGGAGAGGTTAAACAAGGAAAAACATTGCAAAACAATGAAAAAGAATATGTCTTTTTTTGCATACTAGCAAACGGGAATTCACCTTTCACTTCAACATCAGTTTTAAAAATTTCAGCGTATAGCAAGAACAGACAGTGGAATAGGATTCAATTTCAGCTATTTTGGGAATAAGAAAATTTTCCATAAATGCAGCATTGAACTCATCCATTAGCATATGCTGGTGCTTTTCTGTTGACATTAGTCAAATAATTTAGAAGCACAAAGAATATTATTACACATTTAGGAATGAAGTGTATATCCAATTTAAGGTCTAGATATTAAAGGAATCACAATCTGTGTTATTAGGCCTGCATTTTTCCTTTCTTTTTGTCTCTTCAGACATGTTAAAATTTCTACTTATCATTTTGTCAACTCTGTGTGTTTGCATTCGTTCTTGGAAATTTGTCTCCACAAAAATGTTAAAATTAGCAGGCTTGGTGGTGCATGCCTGTAGTTCCAGTTACTTGGCAAGCTGAGGCAGGAAGGCAAGAGTATCACTTGTGTCCAGGAGTTCAAGACTACGGCGAGGTATGATTGTGCCACTGCACTCCAGCTTGGGTGAGAGAGCAAGAGCCTGTCTCAGAAAAAAAAAAAAAAAAAAAGAAAAGGAGAAAAGAAATGGAAGTTTTCACTGGCACCTTCTAAATATCTAGTAACACAGGATCAAATCAGTAACTAACCATCTTTGTTTTTTCCTGTCCCAGACAGGTAAAATGGAAAGCAGTTATACAAATGCTATACTAACTCCTCACAAAGACTACCCAAAGATAATATTATCATCTGTGTTTTTTGGTGATCATACTGAGGCAGAGAGCAGTTGTGAAATGGAGTCTCAGAATCGTCGGTATATGAAGCAGAAAAACTGGTTTCCTCTCTTGGCAGTCTGACTCCAAGATCTCTTAGAAACAATTATACTGTAAAAACCTGAAAAAGAAGTAAAAAACAAGATTGGAGACTAATACTAACATCTATTCTTCTTAATAGCATAATCAAAAATAAATTAAACAGAAAAATAAAAGTGAATATTCATACCAAGGGAAGTCTAGAGTCTTCAGTGGAAAATACATATTTTTTAATAAGTGCCCAAGGAATATTTTAAAAATTGCTGAATATTTTAATTAAACAATTCATATTTAAATATTAGCTAGATTCGAGAGAATAACTTATTCAAAAGCTTAAGCACGAGAGATAAGTTTATAAATATTGAAAATTGACTGAAAAGGGTGAGAGGGAAAATAGGGCTATTTCAACCTGGACGACTTGCCTGAAATTGGTTTTCCATTTTGGAAATTACAGCACAATAATTCCTCCCATCCATGAGGGGCGTGTATGCATGTGTGTGTTTGTGTTAATGAGCTTGTTAACAATAGACTTATACAAACATATTAGCAGCAAGCAGATTTTAAAGAGTATTGGCCTTTTTGCACTTTCCAAGAAAACCTTGGATTCTTTTGATAAGAAAACTTTGGATTCTGTTTACATAAATCTGACATTTAAAAAATCAATCCACAGTGGTCATGATTCTAGTTACAACAAAGTTCCTT